>NC_000005.10:99503746-99806776 GCF_000001405.40 Homo sapiens
CTAGAACTTAAAAGTATAATTAAAAAAGAAAAAAAGAAAAACTTTTCCTCATTAACTGATGTTATTTGGTTACCCTGAAATATAGTTACTACTGAAGAGGCAGGATAAAAGCTTAGTTATCTTTCTTTAATTGCCCATTTTTAGCTTAAGGGCTGGTGGTGATAAATGAGTTGTTTCTGTTATTGGTGATGATTTCTTTTTCTTTTTTGAGTATCAGTCTTTACGATTTTTAAATTTTCATGTTTCAGTCAATTGCAGTCATTATTCTTTTTGATGTTTAAATTGTCCTAGATTTGTCTAGTAGGAGTCCTTGATTGCTGTATAATTTTGACATGACCTTATTAGTCTTTAAAACTTTCTTGGTTTCTGGCACAATATGATGTAGGCTTCCTGTTACATTCCTTTCCAAGTCCTGGAATCAGTACTTCGCTGAGTAGCCTGTCTTTCTTTTTGTGGGAATGGTATTTAGAGACCAAATCTGGTTGCTAGGCATGCTCATTGATATTGGGATGTCATTGCTTTTGACCTTTTGATGGAAAGAGGTAGAAAATATAGATGCATATGTATTCATGCATATATGTGTCTATGTTTAAATTACAAGGTCACTTTGATATTTCTATTTCAATGTCAAAATATTTAGTAAACTTTTAAATTTCAGAATATTTTTAAATTTATAGATAAGCTACAAAGGTAGTACAGAGTTTATGCATACACTTCACCCAGTTTTTCTTATGATTAACATCCTATGGTCCGTTTGTCACAATTAAGAAACTAACATTAGTCAGTTACTATTAATTAATCTCCAAACTTTATTTGGATTTCACTTTTTTTTTTTCACTAATGATTCCTCCAAGATACCACATTACCTTTGGTCCTTGTATTTGTTTAGTCCCTGACAGTTTCTCAGTCTTTCATTGTTTTTCATGGCCATGACAGTTTTGAGGGGTATTGGTCAGGTATTTTGTAGAATGTCTCTCAATTTGCTTTTGTCTGATGCTTTTCTCATGGTTAGATTGAGATTATGAGTCCTTGGGAAGAATATCACAGAGGTGATGTGGCTTTCTTATTACATCATATCGGGGTACTTCTATCGTGTTTTTTTAGGTTCTTCATGGTAAAGTTACTTTTTCCTTTCCTTTCCATATGCCATTCTTTGGCTGCAAGCCACTGAGTACTGCTGAAACTAGAGGAGTGGAAAAATTCGGCTCCACTTCCTGGAGTGAGTGGTATTTAAATAAACTTTTTGGTTTTCTTGTGTATTTATTTTGTTGCTCAGCTTGTTTCAATTGTGGTGATTGGGAGCTCTTTTAGTTTGGTCTTTTGTCCCTTTGACATGCCTCCTTTCTTTCGTTTTTAGAAATACTTCCTTAATTTTTGATACTACAGGATGCTCCAGTCCGGGCGCAGTGGCTCACGCCTGTAATCCCAGCACTTTGGGAGGCCAAGGCGGGCAGATCACCTGAGGTCAGGAGTTCAACACCAGCGTGGCCAACATGGTGAAACCCCGTGTGTACTAAAAATACAAAAATTAGCCGGGCATGTTGGTGGGTGCCTGTAATCCTGGTTACTTCAGAGGCTGAGGCAAGAGAATCGCTTGAACCCGGAAGGTGGAGGTTGCGGTGAGCTGAGATCGCGCCATTGCACTCCAGCCTGGGCAGCGAGTGAAATTCTGTCTCAAAAATAAATAAATAAACAAATAAATAAAATCAAATGCTCCAGGCTATAGATGCTTGTATTTTCCCAGCCCCAGTTCTAGAATCAGTTCTTTTCCCCAGGAAAAGTATATTAGCAAATAAGATCTAGGTTCTTTATTATTATTATTTTTACTATAGTTCTAAGTTCTGGGATACATGTGCAGAATGTGCAGGTTTGTTACATAGGTTTACACGTGCCATGGTGGTTTGCTGTACCCATTAACGCATCATCTACATGGCTATTTCTCCTAATGCTGTCCCTCCCATAGCCCCCCACCCCTGACAGGCCCTGGTGTGTGATATTCCCCTCCTCGTGTCCATGTGTTCTCATTGTTCAACTCCCACTTATGAGTGAGAACATGTGGTGTTTGGTTTTCTGTTCTTGTGTTAGTTTGCTGAGAATGATGGTTTCCAGCTTCATCCATGTCCCTGCAAAGGATATGAACTCATCCTTTTTTATGGATGCATAGTACTCCATGGTTTATATGTGCCACATTTTCTTTATCCAGTCTATCATTGATGGGCATTTGGGTTGGTTCCAAGTCTTTGCTATTGTGAACAGTGCTGCAATAAACATATGTGTGCATGTGTCTTTATAGTAGAATGATTTATAATCCTTTCAGTATATACCCAGTAATGGGATTGCTGGGTCAAATGGTATTTCTGGCTCTAGAAGATCTAGGTTCTTAATATGCTCATTGCTCCTGGGATGTCACTGCTCTTAGGCTGACTCAGCTGACAAAGCTAGGAAATACATGCATATATATTATACTAACCTACGTATATAGCATATAGTATTTTGTATTTCTCTACATCCACATTAACCTGAACACCAGTTCATACTGATGTTCTAATTCTAATCCAGTACTATGTTGATTTATTCTAACCTTCCTGCTTTTCCATATCATCACTTTCCAATGGTGAGAAACCTAGCTTCCACTATCCATTTACTTACTTATTCAGCCTCAGTATACATGTAAAGCAATTTAAGAATTGTTCATTGTAACTGTGTTCCAATTTAAATTTAGCATTACAGAATTTTTCTTAATGTCTTTTAATTTGATATTCAAATTAAAAGATAAAAGTCATTTATAAGAAAACACTTATTGGTCAAGGGGTTGGCAAAGATTTTTTATAAAGGGCCAGGTAGCATTTTAGGCTATACAGGTCACAAATGGTCTTTGTTAAATTTATCTGTATGTGTATATATTTATGTGTGTGTGTGTGTCTGTGTCTATGTGTGTGTTTGTGTGAGTGTATACATTTTCTTTTTCTTTTTGTTTTTTTTTTGAGATGGAGTTTCGCTCTTGTTGCCCAGGCTGGAGTGCAATGGCGCAATCTCGGCTCACGGCAACCTCTACCTCCTTGGTTGAAGCGATTCTCTTGCCTCAGCCTCCTGAGTAGCTGGGATTACAGGCATGTGCCACCACGCCTGGCTAATTTTGTATTTTTAATAGAGTCGGGGTTTCTCCATGTTAGTCAGGCTGGTCTCAAACTCCCCACCTCAGGTGATCTGCCCGTCTTGGCCTCCCAAAGTACTGGGATTACAGATGTGAGCCATTGCCCCTGGCCTACTTTTTTCAAGAAAAGACAGTAAAATCTGACTTGATGCCTTTGATTTGGTTAAGAAAGAAAATAAAATCGTTTTCTCGCTGTACTTTCTGTTTGATTGAGTATTCCAAGGGTCATCACCTGATGATTCCAGTAGTTTAAGAGTGCTGTCCAATATAACTTTCAGTGGTAGTGGAGATACTATGTATCCGTATCATCCAGTATGGTAGTCACTCATCACATGGGGTTACTGAATACTTGAAATGTGTTTAGTAATTCTAAGGAACTGAAATTTCTTAAAATCGAATTTTAATTAAAATGTAAATAACTACACGTGGCTAGGTAGCTGCTGTATTGGATAGTGCATATCTTGAGCCTCCCTTTAAGTGGCCAAATCCAGTACACACAGACTACCACGGTAGATAACAAGGTACCTCTAGACATAAAAATATGTGACTTAAGTTCAAAAACAGGAATACTACCACCAAAAACTCACTAAAGTTTAATGCAGATTTTTAAATGAAGAAAAAGTGAGGCCGGGTGCGGTGGCTCATGGCTGTAATCCCCGCGCTTTGGGAGGCCGAGGCAGGCGGATCACGAGGTGAAGAGATTAAGACCATTCTGGCCAACATGGTGAAACCCCATCTCTACTAAAAATACAGTAATTAGCTGGGTGTGGTGACACCTGCCTGTTGTCCCAGCTACTAGGGAGGTTGAGGCAGGAGAATTGCTTGAACCTGCAAGGCAGAGGTTGCAGTGAGCTCAGATGGTGCCACTACACTCCAGCCTGGCAACAGAGTGAGACTCCATCTCAACAACAACAACAACAAGAACAACAAAAAAGACAAAAGAAAAAAAGTGAAACATATGTATTTTTATATTTATTTTCCCCTTCAATTTCATTCTCTTAATTTTGTTGGATCATTGTTCTAGTTTCTGATTGTAACACCCAATGTGTATGTTAATGATCACTGCTTGTGTTTTGCCAATTGCAAATTTGGTGAATGTACAGTAAATTCTCATTCAGCTGATACCTGTGGAATATGGGAGGGTCAAACTCTCATATGCCATTAGAAGCCTTTCTTTATTTTGACACTGATTTTTTTTTTTTTGAGATGGAGTCTGTCTCATGTTGCCCAGGCTGGAGTGCAATGGCATGATCTCGGCTCACTGCAACCTCCACCTTCCGGGTTCAAGTGATTCTCCTGTCTCAGCCTCCTGAGGAACTGGGATTACAGGTGCATGCCACCATGCCCGGCTAATTTTTGTATTTTTAGTATAGACATGTTTTCACCATGTTGGCCAGGCTGGTCTTGAACTCTTGACCTCAGGTGATCTGCCTGCCTTGGCCTCCCAAAGTGCTGGGATTACAGGCGTGAGCCACCATGCCCCCGCCCGACATTGGTCTGTTAACCTTTTAAATTACGTTTTTCACCCAAGTGAGAATCCACACATGCCTGTAACTGAGCTAAATTTCCCCACATCTTTTTGTCACTGATCTGTATTATTCCTATATTATCCACAAAGATAACTTGAGGGAGTTTGTTGACTGTCTTGAAGATGTGGAAACATAGTATGATGTTTTCAAACCGTCTCCTCACCTGGAATAGCAAACATCAGAATTTGTCTGAGATCCAACAGACAGCATCATGGTGAGTAAGTGGATATCAAAGAGGCAGTCACACACAAAGAACGCCCCCATAGCTATTCAGGAAGGGAGATAGAAGTCCAAGTCTAGGAGTGAAGCTGAGGTAAATAAAGTATTCTGGATTTTGGGCATCTCTGACGAATTTCTCCAGAAGAGCTCTTTGGTGCTGTAGTATTCTTAGCTTGTTTCTCACTCACCTAGCACACTTTAAAAAGACTGACGTTAGGTGTTTTTTTCTTGGTCTACCAGTATAAAAATTGAATTTTAAAAAAAGCTTTTCTTTTGTTGTTAAGCACAGTTTATTATTTGATATACATTATTTACCTGAATATATTTTTCCTTCTTGCCGAGACCAGCTCTGTCAGGGAGACCCTAACCCAGTGGCGCTAGAGGAATTAAAGATGCACACACAGAAATATAGAGGTATGAAGTGGGAAATCAGCGGTCTCACAGCCTTCAGAGCTGAGAGCCCCAAACAGAGATTTACCCACATATTTATTAACAGCAAGCCAGTCATTAGCATTGTTTCTGTAGATATTCGATTAACTAAAAGTATCCCTTATGGGAAACGAAGGGATGGGCCGAAATAAAGGGATGGGTTGGGCTTGTTATCTGCAGCAGGAGCACGTCCTTAAGGCACAGATCGCTGATGCTATTGTTTGTGGTTTAAGAATGCCTTTAAGCAGTTTTCCGCCCTGGGCGGGCCTGGTGTTCCTTGCCCTCATTCGGGTAAACCCACAACCTTCCAGCATGGGCATTATGGCCATCAGGAACATGTCACAGTGCTGCAGAGATTTGTTTATGGCCAGTTTTGGGGCTAGTTTATGGCCAGATTTTGGGGGGCCTGTTCCCAACACCTTCTCTTTGACATTTTCATGGTAAAATTATGTAAACTGTCTGTAATAGCCTTTTACTTAATTTCCTGGTTTTTGCTTCCCTCTGTAACTGTCATCAAGTTACATAATTTTAAAATTTTATCTTATTAAGATCCAGTGACCTTCTTTTGAGTCATGTCTCAGCTCAGATGTCAGCTCCTCAAAGAGACCTTTCCTCACCATACTGTCAAAAGTAGCTCCTCTCCCACCTCTCCACTACCACCCACTCTACCCATTACCCTGATTTATTTCTTTTGTAGCACTTATAACAATCAGAAATGATGTGTTTTTCACATTTGTTTACTTCTATTCCATCACCTAAAACAGTGTTTGGGATATACATGGAACTTATTATTCATTAAATAAGTCATACAATAATAGTGTTTCATATTTTTTTTCAGTAGTTTTCTGTTGAGAAATAGAGCAGACGGCTATTTTCAGCAAGGTGTACCCACCTTTTGGAAAAGAAAGGAAGCATAAGGATTTCTTTTTCTGGAAGATCTGAAATCCTTGGCTTAAACCCTATCAGTTCAGGGCAAGTAAGGAACAGTTTTTAAAATCACTGGCTCTGCACTGTAAGTGACACCTTGAGCTACAGGCTTAAGGCTGATATGTTTAGCTTTTTTTAAAAAAATAAAAATATGTATTCTGAAGATAATTGAATAGTGAGTTTTAGTGCATCTTATGATTTCCATTCATTTTATATTAAAAGTGATTGCCACTGAGAAATTTCCATCTATTCACATGGTATTTATAGTTCTTGCTATGTATGAACAGTTACTTGATTAAAGAGTTTCAGAGTTCAAATAAATAAAAAAAAAACAGATACCTACTGTTTTGCATTTCTGAGTCGATCCTAGATTCTGAAATTTAAAAATTTCTGTTACTGGAAATCAGAATGGATGAGTCAATGCTGTAGTCATTGAGTGTTATACACTGTCTTCTCTGCTAATTTAGCTGAGCTTGTGCCATAACTATCAGTTTTAGTGGAATGAGGGGGAGATTACTGTCCTAGATTTTCACTGAAGTATTTTTCCTCCTCTTTCTTTTTTATAGCATATTAGTTGATGTAAAATTTAATTCTGCAACTAAGTATAACTATAGACTTAATGTGCATAATGGAATGTGAGCATGGATTCTGACTCATGAAAATCTGAATTTGAATTATGTCTTGGCTTGTTCATTTGCTGTATGGCTTTAGGCATGTCATTTAATCACTTTGACCCTTAGTTTCCTTGCCTGTAAAATAGAATTAATACTACCAGTTTTTTGGTGTTCTGATTGATGATTAAATGAAATAATGTATATATTATAAAGTGCATGGCACAGTGCCTGGCACCTAGTAAAGCATTCAGTAGATAATAACTCACCTAGTATTTATTTAATATGAAGGAATATCAGTGCACAGATTCTTAAGTTGATATCTCTCATGTCTTTCAAGTATTACTTCCCATTTCTGAGTTTTTAGTATTGTAACATTGGATTTTACCTCTGAAAAATCAGACTACTGTTTAAGACTATCACCTGTCCTGATTTCTTTCTTTTTTTTTTTTTTTTTTTTTTTGTGATAGAGTCTAGCTCTGTTGCCCAGGCTGGAGTGCAGTAGCACGATCTTGGTTCGCTGCAACCTCTGCCTCCCAGGTTCAAGCGATTCTCCTGCCTAAGCCTGCTGAGGAGCTGGGATTAAGGCACGCCACCATGCCCGGCTAATTTTTGTATTTTTAGTAGAGACGGGGTTTCACCATGTTGGCCAGGCTGGTCTTGAACTGACCTCAGGTGATCCTCCTGCCTTGGCCTCCCAAAGTGTTGAGATTACAGGTGTGAGCCATCGCACCTGACCCTGATTTGTTTTCTGGGAGTATAGGCTATTTAGCTTTGGCTCTCTGTTATCTGTTCTCCATTTCCCTTTTTCTCTCTCTGGTCCAGTTCTCTTTATCCTTTTTTTTTTTTTTTTTTGCCACAATTTGTGAAAACTTCTTAAGCCAATTCACTTTACTAATTTTCTACTCTTTTAATGAACTTTTTAAAAGTCACATTTATTCAGGTATAATTTACATTTAGTAAAATTTATTCTTTTTACTTGCACAGTTCTATGAATTTTGAGAAATGCATACAGTCATAGTCATACACTATGATTATCCTCCAAAGTTCCCTTTAGCCCCTTTGCAGTCAGTCCCTCCTTCTGACCCCCAGGTAACCACTGATCTGATTTTGCCTCTATCAGTAGTTTTGTTCCCTTTTATAGCTGTGTAGTACTCTTTTGTATGACTATATTACATACAGTTTGTTTATCTCTTTACCAGTTGATAGACATTTGGCTTATTTCCAGTTTTTAGGTATAAGGAATAAAGCTTCTATAAATACTCCATACTGTAGAGGTCATTTTTATAGACAGGTGTTTTTATTTCCCTGGGTCAATACCTAAGTGTGAATTGCTTTGTCAGATGATATGTGAGTATTAACTTTATAGGAAACTGCCCAACTTTTTAAAAATGCCGTATCAGTTTGCTTTCTTAGCAGCAATGTGTAAGAGTTGTAGTTACTTCATATCCTTACCTACGCTTGGTATTGTCAATATGTTAAATTTTAGCCATTCAGTTGGGTGTGTAGTGATATGTTATTGGGTTTTAATTTGAATTTCCCTGATGATTAGTGATATTGAGCTTATATGTCTTCTTTGATGAAGCAACTGTTCAAAAACTTTTGCCCATTTTAAAAACTGGGTTCTTTTCTTGGATTGGTTGATAAAGTTCTTTATAAGATATGTGTGTCACAGATATTCCAGTCTGTTGCTTAGATAGAAAGAGTTCCATAAATATTTTTTAAAAAGAAAAAGTAGTTTCCAAAAAAATTCCACTTTTGTAATATATAATTTATGTATTTGTGTTTTTTAGTTACTAGGGAAAGTTTGAGAGGTTATGTCCTAAAAATGGAAGTGTATTATGTGGGGGTATTGGAGAACTTTCATTTTATATTTTTATATGACATAACAAAACAGCATGAATTACTTTTACAATTTAAAAAGATATTTTACACTTCAGAAAACAAAGGACATCAAAAACAAAATTAAAAGACAAATTATAAACAAAACATTGTAACACAGATGGAAAGCAATGGGCTACTATCCATAATACAGTTTCTGTAAATAAAGAAAGGGATATTTGAAAACTAAAACTAGCCAAAGGAAATGAATTAATAGGTAACAGCAGAAGAAATACAAATAGTCAATAAACAAAGATATTCAGCTTCATTAATAAAGAAGGAAAAATTAAAGTGCCAGTGAGGTACTATATATTACCTGTAAGATTGGCAAAAGTGAAGAGAACATATACTATCCAATGTGAGAAGGCTAAGGTGGGGGTGTAAATGACCAGACTTTTTTTTCCGCATAACAATTTGATAATGTCTTTCTTTTTTTTTTTGAGACAGAATCTTGCTCTGTCGCCTCAGCTGGAGTGCGGTGGCGCAATCTTGGCTCACTACAACCTCCACCTCCTGGGTTCAAGCGATTCTCATGCCTCAACCTCCCAAGTAGCTGGGAATTCAGGCATGCACCACCGTGCCTGGCTAATATTTGGATTTTTAGTAGAGATAGGGTTTCACCACACTGGCCAGGCTGGTCTCCAACTCCTGACCTCAAGTGATCCACCCGCCTTGGCCTCCCAAAGTGCTGGGATTACAGGTGTGAGCCACCGCACCCAGCCAGTATATCTTATTCTTATGTAAACTGTAAACTATGATGGCAAGATTTGGAGAAACAAATACTATCAGGCATGGTGGGAGTGTAAATTGGCACTGTCTCATAGATGGCAATTTGGCATTCTCTTCCAAATTACAAATGCATATACCCTCTGAACAAGTAATCCACTTTTAGGAATTCCTCTGACAGATATATCCACATATGTGGAAATGGTCAGGAACAAGTTTATTTATTATAGCATTATATGTAATGATGAGACGTTTTCTTGAATTTTTTTTCAGCACAAAATAACAGTCTGATAATATGTTCTTTTTCCTTTAAAAAAATTCCACAGCTATATTCTTTGTCTTTTATATCTTAGAACAGTACAGAGTGTGACCAGTGGCTGAACTCTAGTCCATGGCTTGTTTTTGTACGACACTTGAACTAAGAATGATTTTTTACAGTTTTAAAGGGTTGTGAAACAAACCCCAGAATAATGAAGAAGAATATGATACAGAGATCATATATGGCTTGCAAAGCCTCAAATATTTATCTGATCCTTCACATAAAGTTTGCTGACCCTACTGTAAAAGCTCTTCACAACCGCTTATTATTTTGCTCTTCTTATTTACGCTCTCTGCCTGGTGAGATACAGGCTGAAAAGATTCTTCTTGTATCTCCTTACCTTCTTAACCTCACTGCTTGTGGCCAGTGGAATGTGTCTGTGATCTTAGGAAGTTTGAGGGAGCTGGGGCTGAGAGTAATCCTTATATGTGTGTTGGGGAGTTTCTCCTCTATGTGATGGATGCTATAGTTTTGTTGTTGTAAACTGTGCAACAGAGTGAGACAGAGTCTCACTCTGTTGCCCAGGCTGGAGTGCAGTGGCGCCATCTCCGCTCACTGCAAGCTCTGCCTCCTGGGTTCACGCCATTCTCCTGCCTCAGCCACCCGAGGAGCTGGGACTACAGGTGCCTGCCACCACACCTGGCTAATTTTTTGTATTTTTAGTAGAGACGGGGTTTCACGGTGTTAGCCAGGATGGTCTTGATCTTCTGACCTCATGATCTGCCCGCCTCAGCCTCCCAAAGTGCTGGGATTACAGGCGTGAGCCACTGCTCCCGGCCCGTATGCTGTAGTTTTAGGAAAGATAGTAGGTTTTTGACTATATGCCTTTGTTTTATTAACCCTATATTATCTCTTCCACATTGTTTTTTGTGCCTGCTGCCTAATTTTTGTGACAACTGCTTCCGTAAGGGCATCCTTGCTGCTTTGAGAATGAACCGCCCATGGACTTCATGGTTTCTGGGTACTTTCATATGAGGCTGTTGCACTCTTTCTGGGTGGTGCTTTCCTAATCATTCTGATCTTTTCCTACTAGAAATTTCTGGATAATTTCCAGTTTTCAGTAGTCCTTTCATTTATCCTGATTTTATATTTTTCTAGGTTATTTCTTTTGGCATTTGGAGTAGGGAAGTCTGATGAAGTCCTCAGCTCTTTTTCCTTAGACGTCTTCTATATTTCCTATTTCCAAATTCTTAAGGATTCCTTATTTCTATTCTTTTTTTGCACCCTCTGCAGAATCAACCTTATATTGACAAAATATATTTTTACATTTTTGGGTGACATTTACAAGTCCTTAATTAATTAATTAATTAATTAATTAATTTTTTGAGATGGAGTCTCACTCATTCACCCAGGCTGTAGTGCGGTGGCGTGATCTTGGCTCACTGCAAGCTCCACCTCCCGGATTCATGCCATTCTCCTGGCTCAGCCTCCCGAGTAGCTGGGACTACAGGCGCCTGCCATGACGCCTGGCTAATTTTTTGTATTTTCAGTAGAGACGGGGTTTCACCGTGTTAGCCAGGATGGTCTCGATCTCCTGACCTCGTGATCCGCCTGCCTCAGCCTCCCAAAGTGTTAGGATTACAGGCGTGAGCCACCGCGCCCGGCCCAAGTCCTTAATTTGTAAGTCTTGAGTATTTTGGTTAGCAATAATTAAGACATGTACTAAACATATACTAACTTGTAGTGCATTTGAAATAACATTGCATTTGGCTACCAAGATTTTATACCCCTCAAATAATCTTAGCATTGGAAATAAAGTAGTAATAATAATAATTACTTGTTTCAGTTACTGTACTAGGTGTCTTTATGTATATTATTTTTAATCCTCACCCAATTTTATAAAAAGTATTATTTCTCATGTTTTTTTCAGTGGAGGAAACCAGGACTCAGCAAAGTTATATTAACTAGTACATGAACTCCGTGGGTTCAGGAGCATCTCTGTATAGTGCTGCCATCTAGTCTTGTCTCCTCATTTCCCATGAAATAAGGAGACTGAGGCCGGGCGTGGTGGCTCATGCCTGTAATCCCAGCACTTTGGGAGGCCAAGGTGGGCGGAACACGAGGTCAGGAGTTTGAGACCAGCCTGACCAACATGGCGAAACCCCGTCTCTACTAAAAATACAAAAATTAGCCCAGCGTGGTGGCACGCGCCTGTAATCCCAGCTACTTAGGAGGCTGAAGCAGGAGAATTGCTTGAACCCAGGAGGTGGTGGTTGCAGTGAGCTGAGATCGTGCCACTGCACTCCAGCCTGGGTGACAGAGCGAGACTCTGTATCGAAAAAAAAAAAAAAAAGAGACTGAGTCTAGTGAAGCCAGTGGACTTGCTCATCATCACGCAGCTAGTTAGCAGCAGAATGAGGACTTGGATCCCTGAACTCCTGACTCACATTCCGGTGCACTTTTCACTACAGCAGGACACCTTGGCTCCTGAGCCCCAAGTGACAGCCCCAGACAGCTGTGTTTATCTGTCTTGCATGTCCCAGCTTGTTTTGCTAGCTGAGCAAAAACTACTTAAAAGGATCCTCAATCTTCACCTTCCCACTCCCTTCCACTTCTACTCATATACTCCCACTTGCCCCATGAATGACTTCACAGAAACAATTGTACAATGTCACTAAGCCTTCCTCTGGTGTCAGAGTTACTCCCTGAGAGAGCATTCACTTCCTCATGACTCCGGTTTACTGGTTAGATTGGCTTTCCCTCTCTTCTCTCTGATCGGAATCTTCATTGTTTAGGCAGGAATTTGAGGAGCAGATGTTATGCCCCTTGAACAGGCCCTTTAATTCGCCTTAGTACTGTGTCTAATGACTCTTAATCCTGTCCTTTTAACTCTGTGGCTAGCAGATTTCGGAGTGAAGTGAGACAGGAATGATGAGCTTGAAGCTGAACATTTCATTTTAATGTTGGCAAAGTAGTCTACAGATAGTACATGACAAACAGTGAGACAGAGGGAACATGTTAAAAGTGTTCCTATATAGCAGAAAAACAATGTGAACATTAGTGTGGGATCACTGAAATTTTGGGTTTCCCGTCAAATGTAGATAGAACAGTTTGGTTGATTAGTTTGCCAGAGAAATGGAGCCATTGACTGTTTCTACTTTGTCTTCTTAAACTTTTATATTTTTTAGATTTTCATTTCCCTTTTAAAATAAAAATAAATCATCAGAAGAAACAAAGTGATCTCTTATTTTTCCTGGTTACTGGAGAAAATTACACTTCCCCCAAATGGGAGTAGCATTAACAAGCATATATCCTGTGAACTGATTCCTTCCATTCTTTAGAGACTTTGGTTTAGCGCTCTGAACTTTCTGATTATCAGATCTTATGTGTTTGCTAATACATAAAATAACAAATTAGACATAATGCCCTATAATTTTCTCAGTTTGATTAATTGCCTGAAATTTGATCTATCAGTTAGTGTTTGATTAGAATAGAGAAATCACATGTAATTTGAACAAGGAAAGATTAATACGAAGAACTGCTAGCTATAACAGGGTTTTGGAGCAATGAGGATTGGCTAGTAAAAAGTGAAGAGAACTCTAAGGAATATAAGAATAACAGATAAAAGGAGCATCAACCCCTGGGGTTGAGATAGAACATCCAGGGCCTCTGGGATTAAGATCCAGACCCTGTTTGAGGGGGCATGGCTGTGGCTCACTGAATGAAGAGAAGTTGCTGTGGTAGAAATCTGTCTCATCAGAATCACTCTGCTATAATACTGCCTTGTGGAGGTACTGGTGGAAGATACTGGGTGCTGCTGACTGCTGTGCACTTCAGGAGCCTGACAATGGAGCAAACTGCACGGGTTCTGGATCTGGACACTGGAGAAGCTGTGTTGCAGTACAGAAGCCTGCCAAGAGGAGCACACAAGACTCTTGGAAAGAAGAGGAAAATCTCCTCTTACAATGTCGATCTAACATCATGCCAACTAGCAAAGGAAAAATGTTTAAAGGGTCCAAGTTCATTTTTGCAGAGCAGACAGGAAAGGATGAATTCAGAGCTGAGAGACAATAAGTGGACAACTGGCACATTTGGTCAAACTTGTAATTTTATATCTTAGATGGACAAATTTAAACCCAAGTCCATAGGTGTTTTCCTTACAAGCTTACATTTAAATTTGCGATCCTGGTCAGAATTTTGCTAAGGACTTCATTCTTTCCCAGTGTTTCAGGAAGGCTACCATGGGGCCAGAGCCACTTTTCTTTATTGTAAGGTCCTGGGCTGTGGCCCCTTTTGCTTTTCTGGGCTCCTTTCTCATGGGCATCTGTTTTGGGAGCTTCATTTCCTCATCTGCTTTGACACTTTAATCTTGGACGTTGTAGTGAAATGCTTCACATTGTCACACATTCTAATCTCAGAGACCACTCCAAATCTTTTTGAATTTTCTTGGCCATTGGAATTAGTACTCTGGAATCAGTACATTAAGAATGGTTTTTTAAAAACTATGAGCTAGAATTTCAACATTTTAGAAGAAATAGTCAGTATAAATTTGGAGAAGCAGTTTCTAGCTAGTAGTAGCTGTGCAGAAAAACAGTTTTATTGATAAGTATCTGATTTGGATTTAGGAACCAGCTAGGATGAAAAATTCAATTGAGGTCTGGCCAGTTAGACATAAATTTTATTTTTCCTTTATATTCTGTGTCCAAAAGACAAATTGTCATGAGTTATTTTTTTTTTCTGAAGTATCCGTTTGTTTCTCAGCTTTGGAATTAGAGGTGTAGAAAATAAACGGGACTCAACAGCCTAAGATTTTGTTTAAAAAGATGTTCTTATTTATTTATATTAAAAAAATTTCTAAACTTTTTTTTTTTGCAAGAAACTGTATGTCAGCATTTTCACTTTTGATAGATAAATTTTATATTTGGGATTTTGATTATGAAGTTCTTTCTGCACCAGAATTCCTTATGGATTTTTGTAATAATCTGTATTTAGTGTGTTTAATTATTTGCTTTCCATTTATATTTATTTTGGGATTTCTTTTTTAAGAGAATGGCACCTGTGACAGCATACTGTTAATATTACCCTTGTATCGTACTTTACCATGCCATCTCTGAAGAATGTTACAGACCATTTTGGAGCATGGTGAATAACAAATTTTTACCTTAGGAGTTCACTTGAATAGTCGTTTTTATATTTGTGACTGCAAGTCACTTTTAGGGGCTGTACTTCCTTAGTACTGGTAGCATTATTATCCAATGGACTTTTATAGCTTTCATTAGGTTTTCTTTTGTTTTTGTTCTTTAAAGAACATTTTACTTATCTTAGTATTTCATTTTTCATCTATATTATGAGGCAGTAAGAGTCTTCTGTTTTTCCAAAGTGGAGACTGCTTTATATTTATTTCATATTGTCTACAGCTGTAGTGTTCAATACAGTAGCCACTGGCCACATGGGGTTATTTAAATAAGATGAAATAAAAATTGGCCGGGCGCGGTGGCTCACGCCTGTAATCCCAGCACTTTGGGAGGCCGAGGCGGGCAGATCATGAGGTCAGGAGGTCGAGACCATCCTTAATAAGATGGTGAAACCCCATCTCTATTAAAAATACAAAAAATTAGCTGGGCGTGGTGGCGGGCACCTGCAGTCCCAGCTACTCAGGAGGCTGAGGCAGGAGAATGGCTTGAACCTGGGAGGCAGAGTTTGCAGTGAGCCGAGATGGCGCCACTGCACTCCAGCCTGGGGGACAGAGCGAGACTCCTTCTCAAAAAAAAATAAAAAAAAATAAAAAAAAATAAAAAAAAATAAAAATTAAGTTCTTTAGTTGCACTAGCCATATTTCAAATACTTGATGGATACCTGTGGCTAGTGGCTAACATAATGGATAGCACAGATATAAAACATTTCCTCGTCATATAAAGTTCTATTGGATAGTGCTGGTCTGTAGCTTATAGGATGGTATCTTAGTCTGCTTCAGCTGCTAAAACAGAATACCACAAATTAGGTAGCTTAATCAGTAGATATTTTGACCAGGCATGGTGGCTTATGCCTGTATTCCTAACACTTTGGGAGGCCGAGGCAGGTGGATAACTTGAGCTCAGGAGTTTGAGACTAGCCTGGGCAGCATGGCAAAACCTTGTCTCTACAAAAATTAGCTGGGCATGGTGGTGCACGCCTGTAGTCTGAGCTACTTGGGAGGCTGAGGTGGGAGAATTGCTTGAACCTGGGAGGTGGAGGTTGCAGTGAGCCATGATCGCACCACTGTACTCCAGCCTGGATGACAGAATGAGACTCTGTCTCAAAAAAAAAAAAAAAAAAAAAAGAAGAGGTATTTCTCACAGTTCTGGAGGCTGGAAGTGCAAGATCAAAGTGTTGGCAAATTACGTTTCTTAAAGAGGGCCTCCTTCCTAGATTGGAAATGGCCATCTTCTCTCAGTATCCTCACATGGTAGGGAGAAAAGCAGCTCTAGTGTCTCTTCTTATAAAGGAAGTAATGCCACTATAGGGGCTCTATTCTCATGACCTCATCTAAACCTAATTCTCTCCTAAAGGCCACGCCTCCCAATATCCTCACCTTGGGGGTTAGGGCTTTATCATATGAATTTTTTTTTTTTTTTAAGACAGAGTCTCGCTCTGTCTGTCACCCAGGCTGGAGTGCAGTGGCACAATCTCGGCTCTCTACAAGCTCCGCTTCCTGGGTTCACGCCATTCTCCTGTGTCAGCCTCCTCAGTAGTTGGGACTAAGGCGCCCACCGCTGCGCCCGGCTAATTTTTTGTATTTTTAGTAGAGATGGGGTTTTACCATGTTAGCCAGGATGATCTCGATCTCCTGACGTGGTGATCCACCCGCCTCGGCCTCCCAAAGTGCTGGGATTGCAGGCATGAGCCACCGCGCCCGGCCTATCATATGAATTTTGAGGGAACACAAACATGCAGTCTGTAGCAGATGGTAATAGGCTGATATATTGCACTTGTTGATGTAAATCTGATAGGTTTCTTTCTCTCCAAGGACAGCTTTTAAAATATTTAACAATACCAATAATTTTTCAGGTTCTGTGAGAATTTTGTAATTTATAAGTTGCAAACTTAAAATAATCTATAATCTATTTTGTCCTAACAATTACAAATATATTTTTTTATTTCAGATTATATGTATTCCTACCAGATGGAGATAATTACAGCTTTAAAAATTTTTATTTTTTCATTTTATTTCACATATTGACATTAAATTTTTATTGACACATACTTGTACATATATATGGGGTACAATGTGATGTTTTAATACATGTACTCAATGTGTAATGATCAAATCAGGGTAATTTGCATAATGATTTTTCTGTAGGGAGAAAATTCAAAATCTACTCTTCTGGCTATTTTCAAATATATAATATGTTATTGTTAACTATACTCATCCTACTATGCAATAGGACACCAGAACTTATTCCTGGGTTCTACATCTGTTTATTAAGCCAACCAAGGATTGGAAATATTGGGAAAAAAAATTGCGTCTGTACTGAACATGTACAGACTTTTTTCTTGTCCTTATTCCTTACACAATATAGTACAATAACTATTTGCATAACATTTACATTGAATATTATGAGTGATCTAGAGTTGATATGAAGTATATGGGAGGATGTGTAAAGGTGATCTGCAAATACTATGTCATTTTATATCAGGGACTTGAGTATCCTATGTTATCCTCAGGAGATCCTGAAACTAGTCCCCCATGGATACTGAGGGCTGACTGTATAGTCCTATCCTCACGGAACTTTCATTCTAATGAGGGAAGACTGACTATAAACAAAATATATATAATAGGCGGTGGTAAGTACCGTGGAGAAGTAACAAATGGGGCAAAGTGAGTTATACAGCTCCATTCTTAGAAACCTTGGAGTACTTTTCTTAGTTTATACTCGTGGTGGTTTCCTTTTGTCTCCTTTATTACATGGGACTCTGACATGTGCGCATAGCTAGGGTGGCAGTAGGATCTACCCGATAGTAGGGTGGAAGTAGGATCTACCCAAAAAGCATCCTGCTGATACAGGACCAAAGAATCCTGTTGTTCTCCAGCCTATAAAAAGAGCTAATGGTCTTGCTTCTCTTAACTGTGGCCTCCTACACTGTGTTTTGGACGATTGGTGATGTCTTGGATATTCTGTTTCTTTGGAACTTTGAGTATACAACACTTTACTAGGGAATTAGCAATGGAAGCAGAGCAAAGATGTACAGAGGAAACAATGCATAACTCTGATGGAATTGAAGTCATGAGGCAGCAGAAAGCTGAAATAGGCAGAGTGGGAGGGTTAGAGGGGATTCAGTTGGGAGTAACAGAAGTAATAGTTAACGGAGCCAGAATGCTTGAGTCATATAATTGCAAAGCAGAGTTAGGAGCAACAGGTGCTAAAGAGTAGTTGCTGTAGTTCCTCTCTGGGTGGTAGGAGCAGTTGTCATATTACTATATAGCTACTGAATGAAGAAGAGTTCTTAGTGAGGTCTGGGTGAACAGCTCTTAGTATTCTGTGTGACCCCATTTGACCTTTTAGCAAATCTCTAAGTCAATAAATAGCCCCTAAGGTAAACTAAGTTTTTCTCTGCTATTTTTTTGCTTGAGAGAGCTATAACTGTAATAGACTTATATTTCTGAACATTTTAGTGCTTGCCAATATTTGGTAATATTTATGTTTCCTATATTTGTAATGAACATACTTCTTCTGGTACATTTTTTGTAAATTATTGTTTCATGCATAAAAGTTCGCCTTTTATTGTATAAAATTCACTCAGATTAATTTATACACATTGACAATGGGTAAATAGAATTTTTCAGATTATTAAAAGCTGAAGGATGCCCATGTAAGCAAAAAAAAAAAAAAAAAAAAAAAAAACCAACAAACATAAACCCAAACCCCTCAAACAATTTCAAACACAAAACATTCTTCGCATGCCGGCATTCATTCTCATGCCGGCATCCATGCTTGCAGCTGTGAAGGGGGCAGGAATCAGCGAGGTGACCTGGGCTGAGTCCCGGGAGTGGGAATATGTGGCAGGAAGGGGATCTGAGGAGGAGAACAGGGGTCCTGGTGGTCTGTGCTTCTTCCCAGACACGGGAGCTGTAGAGGGGACCTGTGCAGCAGATGCTAGGGGGGCCACTAGGCCCAGGCAGTCTTGGGACTTGGGTCTGTCCTGCTGTGCATCCATAGTGGGTGCTTTAGAAACGCTAGACCCACCAGAAGCCCCTGTTGCAAGTGAGGACAAAGTGTGGGAAGGCCGTGAGTGTCTGCAGTGCCAGATGGCCTTGTCCTCAACCTGCAGTGCACTGTTGATGCGGGGCCTAGAGGCCTGGGATCTGGGGGAGCCACCCCTGGGGGCGAGTGTCTGCCCTGGTGCTGTATCTGCGTTGTTTTCACAGTGGCTGTGACCCGAAGAGACAGCCTGAGGTCCATCCTCACTCACTGTGTTTGAGGAACTGAGGGCCAGCTGGCAGTGGGATGAGGCTGGCCCCCTCCTCCGCTTTAGTTCCGGGAGGCCTTCCGTAGAGCTGTAGGAGCTCGAGCTGGCATTTCGTTTGGTGCACGATCTGGTCCGGGAGGTCTGGGATCTCTGGTTATATCTCACTTCTGACCTCTGGGCACCTGCTGCAGCTGTGGCTGAGGCCCAGAAATATGAGGGGCCTGCATCCATTGCATTGAGTAGTAACCCCAACATGGGGTTCAATGTGGAGGGGGGAGGGGCTGCTGCGGCAGCTGCAGGAGCCGACGTTCTAGGCCTCCTTCTTCTCATGCCGGCATCCATGCTTGCAGCTGTAAAGGGGGCAGGAATCAGCGAGGTGACCTGGGCTGAGTCCCGGGAGTGGGAAGAGGTGGCAGGAAGGGGATCTGAGGAGGAGAACAGGGGTCCTGGTGGTCTGTGCTTCTTCCCAGACACGGGAGCTGTAGAGGGGACCTGTGCAGCAGATGCTAGGGGGGCCACTAGGCCCAGGCAGTCTTGGGACTTGGGTCTGTCCTGCTGTGCATCCATAGTGGGTGCTTTAGAAACGCTAGACCCACCAGAAGCCCCTGTTGCAAGTGAGGACAAAGTGTGGGAAGGCCATGAGGGTCTGCAGTGCGAGATGGCCTTGTCCTCAACCTGCAGTGCACTGTTGATGCAGGGCCTAGAGGCCTGGGATCTGGGGGAGCCACCCGTGGGGGCGAGTGTCTGCCCTGGTGCTGTATCTGCGTTGTTTTCACAGTGGCTGTGACCCGAAGAGACAGCCTGAGGTCCGTCCTCACTCACTGTGTTTGAGGAACTGAGGGCCAGCTGGCAGTGGGATGAGGCTGGTCCCCTCCTCCGCTTTAGTTCCGGGAGGCCTTCCGTAGAGCTGTAGGAGCTCGAGCTGGCATTTCGTTTGGTGCACGATCTGGTCCGGGAGGTCTGGGATCTCTGGTTATATCTCACTTCTGACCTCTGGGCACCTGCTGCAGCTGTGGCTGAGGCCCAGAAATATGAGGGGCCTGCATCCATTGCATTGAGTAGTAACCCCAACATGGGGTTCAATGTGGAGGGGGGAGGGGCTGCTGCGGCAGCTGCAGGAGCCGACGTGCCAGGCCTTGTTCTTCTCATGCCGGCATCCATGCTTGCAGCTGTGAAGGGGGCAGGAATCAGCGAGGTGTACTGGGCTGAGTCCCGGGAGTGGGAAGATGTGGCAGGAAGGGGATCTGAGGAGGAGAACAGGGGTCCTGGTGGTCTGTGCTTCTTCCCAGACACAGGAGCTGTGGAGGGGACCTGTGCAGCAGATGCTAGGGGGGCCACTAGGCCCAGGCAGTCTTGGGACTTGGGTCTGTCCTGCTGTGCATCCATAGTGGGTGCTTTAGAAACGGGAGACCCACCAGAAGCCCCTGTTGCAAGTGAGGAGAAAGTGTGGGAAGGCCGTGAGGGTCTGCAATCCGAGATGGCCTTGTCCTCAACCTGCAGTGCACTGTTGATCCGGTGTAATGCCGCCTCTTTTTCCAGGTGCAGGTCTTCATCAGTGACCCGGTACCCCCGCTCTAAGGGAGGTGGCAGCATCAAAGGCTCCCCTCGCCTGCGTGGCAGCAGGGGAATCTTGTGTCTATGGGGCCTAGAGGCCTGAGATCTGGGGGAGCCACCCCTTGGGGCGAGTGTCTGCCCTGGTGCTGTATCTGCCGCCTGTTCACACCGTGTTTGACCCAAAGAGACAGCCTGAAGCCTGTCCTCACTCACTGTCATTGAGTAACTGAGGGTCAGCTGGCAGTGGGATGAGGCTGGCCCCCTCCTCTGCTTTAGCCCCGGCAAGTCTCCCGTGGAGCTGTAGGAGCTGGAGATGGCATTTCGTTTGGTGCACGAGCTCGCCCAGGAGGTCTGGGATGTCTGGTTATATCTGATTTCTGAGCTCTGGGCATTCAGTTCTGTCTGCAGAGGCCCGGGCCTGGGCACAAAGGGAGAGAGGCCTCCATTGTCCCGCAGGGGCCGAAATGCAGACCATGCATCCCTGGTGACCTCGGGGACCGTTCTCTGATCATCAGGATTTTCTTGGACTCTAGGGTCCTCGTCCTGCTCAGGCATCCCTGCCCCGCTCTCCTGCCCTGCTGGCCCCCTCCTCCACTTTAGCCCCAGCAAGCCTCCCACGGAGCTATAGGAGCTGGAGATGGCATTTTGGTTGGTGCACGAGCTCGTCCAGGTATTCTGGGATGTCTGGTTATATCTGATTTCTGACCTCTGGGCATGGAGGTATGTCTGCAGAGGCCCGGGCCTGGGCACAAAGGGAGAGAGGACTCCATTGTCCCGCAGGGGCCGAAATGCAGACCGTGCATCCCCGGTGACCTTGGGGACCCTTCTCTGATCATCAGGATTCTCTTGGACTCTAGGGTCCTTGTCCTGCTCAGGCATCCCTGCCCCGCTCTCCTTGAGGGCCCTCAACACTATCTTCCCTGGACACAAGTCTGGGGACAGCCGGGTGTTGTGAACCCCAATGGGGTGACTACCTGCTCCTGGGGCCCCACAGAGTCCTTGTGCTCAGTGTAGTGGCTGAGCTGGAGGATGCCCTGGAACTCGGAGCACACAGCACTGACTTGCTATGGTACCTGTGCAGTGAAATTGAAGGCAGAATCACCAGGATGGAACACAGGTCTTGCAGGATCACGGAAAACCTTCTTGGAGTTGTCTTGACACCACTGATGTCGAGTGTCTGGGTGCTTGTAGGATGACCTGCCACTCAGTCCAGGGGCAGGAGCAACGGGGAGATCCCACAAGCAAAGTGAACTGGGGGATGGGTTGAAGGGGCTCCAGGCAACTGAGCCCTACTCGCAGGTCCTCAGCCTTGGCCCAAACAGGAATGAGGGGCACAGAGTGCCCAGGTAACCGCTCCTGGGAGCAGTGGGGAACCGTCGGATGCTTGAACTCTCGAGAGCTGGGCTCTGAGCGTCCTCATCCAGCTGCCAACTCGGCCAAAGGCTAAGCCAGCAGACTCTTCTGTTGCCGGGCAACGCGCCTTCTAAACCTGAGGGAGTGGGCACGTGAGCACATAATGGCACCAGTGACAGAGCGACCATAATGGATTAATAAGCACAGCCAGGTACCCGCACAAGGCACTTGCTGGCAATGGCAGGAGGCGGACGTGGGGTGTCGTGCAATAGGTACTGGAGGGAGAGACACGGGCACAAAGGTCGTGGGAGGAGCAGGTGCCCACAGTGGCTGCAGATCTGCCCGTGGATCACTGAAGATTCCTGCTCTCCTGCTGAGGTGGAGACTGCAGTGAGCTGAGATCGCACCATTGCACTCCAGCCTGGGCAACAAGTGCAAAACTCAGTCTCCAGATAAAAAAAAGAAAAAGAAAAAAAAGAGGCTGGGTGTGGTGGCTTATGCCTATAATCCTAGCACTTTGGGAGGTCGGGGTGGACGGATCACGAGATCAGGAGTTGGAGACCAGCCTGGCCAACATAGTGAAACCCCGTCTCTAGTAAAAATACAAAATTTAGTCAGACATGGTGGGCAGGAGAGAGCATGTGCAGGGGAACTCCCATTGATAAAACCATCAGATCTCATGAGACTTATTCACTACCATGAGAACAGCATGGGGGAAACTGCCTCCATGATTCAATTATCTCCACCTGGCCCCACCCTTGACACATGGGAATTGTTACAATTCCAGATGAGATTTGGGTGGGGACAGAGCCAAACCATATAATTCTTCCCCAGCCCCTCCCAAATCTCATGTCCTCACATTTCAAAAGCAATCATGCCTTCCACAAAGTCCCCCAAACTCTTATTTCAGCATTAACTCAAAATTCCATAGTCCAAAGTCTCATCTGAGACAAGGCAAGTCCCTTCCACCTATGAGCCTGTAAAATCAAAAGCAAGTTATTTTCTAGATACACAGGGATACAGGCATTGGGTAAATACACTCGTTTCAAATGGGAGAAATTGGCCAAAGCAAAAGAGCTACAGGCCCCATGCAAATCCAAAACCCAGCAGGCAAATCTTAAAGCTCCAAAATGACCTCCTTTGACTCCATGTGTCACATCTAGGTGATGCAAGAAGTGGGTTCCCAGGGTCTTGGGCAGCCCCGCCCCTGTGGCTTTGCAGGGTACAGCCCCCCTTCTGGCTGCATTGAGTGTCTGCAGCTTTTCCAGGCACACAGTGCAAGCTGTCAGTGGATCTCCCATTTTGGGGTCTGGAGGATGGTGGCCCTTTTCTCACAGCTCTGCTTGGCAGTACCCCAGTGGGAACTCTGTGTGGGGGCTCCAACCCCATATTTCCCTTTGACACTGCCCTACCAGAGGTTATCCATGAGGGCCCCCCCTCCCCCCCGCAGCAAACTTTTGCCTGGATTTCCAGGCATTTTCATACATCTTCTGAAATCTAGGCGGAGGTTCATGAACCTTAATTCTTGACTTTGGAGCATCTGCTGGCTTAACACCACCTAGAACCTGAAAGGCTTGGAACTTGCACCCTCTGAAGCCATGGCCTGAGGTGTACCTTGGCCCCTTTTACCTATGGCAGGAGCAGCTGGGATGCAGGGCACCAAGTTCCTAGGCTGCACACAGCAGGGGTTTCTGGACCCACAAAACCATTTTTCCTTCTAAGCCTCCTGGCCTGTGATGGGAGGGTCTGCTGTGAGGGTCTCTAACATGCCCTGGATACGTTTGCCCCATTGTCTTGGTGATTAACATTTGGCTCCTCATTACTTATGCAAATTTCTACAACCCAGTCTCCTCAGAAAATAGATTTTTCTTTTCTGTTGCATCATCAGGCTACAAATTTTCTGAACTTTTATGCTCTGCTTCTTCTCGCATGCTTTGCTGCTTAGAAATTTCTTCTGTCAGATACCTTAAATCATCTCTGTCAAGTTCAAAGTTCCACAGATCTCTAGGCAACTCTAGAAAAAAATTCTTATTTTCACTCTTTCCCGCCTATCTTATGCCCGTTTCTAATACAGGTGCACAATGCCTGCAGTGTCTTTGTATAGTAAGAGTGACTTCACTCCATTTCCCAACAAATTCCTCATCTCTATCTGAGACCACCTCCGCCTGGACCTTATTGTCCATATCACTATGAACATTTTGGTCAAAGCCATTCAACAAGTCTCTAGGAAGTTCCAAACTTTCCCACATTTTCCTATCCTCTTCTGAGCCTTCCAACCTGTTCCAGCCTCTCCCTGTTACCCATTTCCAAAGTTGCTTCCACATTTTCGGGTATCTTTACAGCAGCACCCCACTCTACTGGTATCAACTTATTGTATTAGTCTGTTCTCACACTGCAAGTAAAGACATACCTGAGACTGGGTAATTTATAAAGGAAAGAGGTTGAATTGACTCACAGTTCTGCATGGCTGGGGAGGCCTCACAATCATGGTGGAAGGCAAGGAGGTGCAAAAGCATGTCTCACATAGTGGCAGGCAGGAGAGAGCATGTGCAGGGGAACTCCCATTTATAAAACCATCAGATCTCATGAGACTTATTCACTACCACGAGAACAGTATGGGGGGAACCATCCCCATGATTCAGTTATCTGCACCTGGCCCCACCCTTGACACGTAGGAATTATTACAATGCAAGGTGAGATTTGGGTGGGGACACATCCAAAGTAAATCAGTAGGTTTTGACTTCTTGCTTGATTGCTAGGTTGCATAGAGGACAAACATGGAAATTAATTAAGTACGTTAATATCTGGCTTCAGATCTTAGACAGGATCAGAGGGCCAGCTCAAATTTGCAAGGAGGGGAGGTAGATCCCACCATTTTATGGGTGAATGGCAAAATCAAACAGAAATTATGTGGGATGGGAGATACTGATGCAGGCATCTTTGGAAACATTCTACTTAGCTAATTTTATGCTAGGCTTTAGGTCAAGAAGAAGAGAGAGAGCTGACATGCTGTGGTACACACTTATAGTCCCAGCTACTTGGAAACCTGAGGCAGGAGGATTGCTTGATCCCAGGAGTTTGAGGTAGTGTGCGATGATCATTCTTGTGAATAGCCACTAGCCACTGAACTCCAGCTTGGGCAACATTGAGACACCCTGTCTCTTAATTTAAAAAAAAAAAAAAAAACGGAGGGAAGAAAGTGATCAGTTTTTAAGGTAAATATTTTTAATGGGATAATGATATTTTAAGATTAATGTATATTGTATATCAGTTAACTATAGGTCAATAATTATATAAAGCTTAAGGTACGAAAAACATTTATTTTTGCTAACATATCCGTGAGTTGACTGTTCTTGGCTTGGTGAGGCTGCAAGCTGCAGATGGAGTCTAGGTATGTTTTCTGTGTGTTTGTTCCCCCTTGGATCAGTGGACTACCTGAGAATGTGTTTTTGTCACAGTGATAGAATCACAAGGAAACTCCAGTTCTGGAAGTACATTTTAAGCCATTGCTTCTATCATGTCCACTAACATTCAGTCAGCCAAAGCACATACCTTGTCCATGGCTCACATTGATAGTATAGATAAATATACCTGATCTCTAGCAGGAGGAACTGCATTGTCTTGGGGAAAGGTTGTAGATATAGGGAGGGGTGATGAGTTGGGAACAATAATGTAGTCTGCCACAAACATATTAAAGTGTAACTGGATATGGTTGATGCAGAATTTTGAACCTTTGTTTTAATTCTGATTTTTACTCTTTTCCCCCTATCTAGTGCCCTTTTGTAATACAGTAATTCTCATGATTTTTGTCTGAATTGAAATCTTCTATGAGATTAGATTGTCTACAAAAATACAGTCGATCCTTCTTGTTTTCAGCTTTTGTATTTGTGAACTCACCTACTATTTTTTGTAACCCCCAAATCAGTACTCACAGCACTTTCATAGTCATGTGTTTGCATAGAGTGTCAAAGAATTTGAGTTTGAACAGGGTGATATTCTGCCTTCTTTTTCAGCTCTCATACAATAGTCAGGTATCCTTTTTGTGGTCCATTTAATGCCATGCTTTTCCTATTTTTGTACTGTTTGTTGGTTGTTTTGCCATTTAAATTAACCCCCAAGCATAGTGCTGAAGTGCTGCTTAGCATTCACAAGTCCAAGAAGTCTGTGATGTGCCTTACAGAGAAAATACATGCATTAAATCAACTCCATTCAGGCGTGAGTGCTGTAGTGCCATTGGCTGTGAGTTCAGTGTTAATGAATGAACAATGTATATTATTTATTTATTCATTCATGTAATTAATTATATATTATTTTTTTTTTTGAGATACAGTCTCACTCTGTTGCTCAGGCTGGAGTGCAGTGGTGCAGTCTTGGCTCACTGCAACCTCTGCCTCCTGGGTTCAAGCGATTCCCCTGCCTTAGCCTCCCAAGTAGCTAAGACTACAGGCATGCGCCACCATGCCTGGCTAATTTTTTTTTTTTTTTTGTAGTTTTAGTAGAGACGGGGTTTCACCACGTTGGCCAGGCTGGTCTCGAACTCCAGACCTCAAATGATCTGCCCACCTTGGCTTCCCAAAGTGCTGGGATTACAGGCGTTAGCCACTGTGCCTGGCCAACAATATATATTAAATAAGCACACATACAACAAAAGTAGGTGTTGGTAAGCTTACAAAAATATGACCAGTAGCTTGCTGAAACCTAACTTTTTATTTGTTCATGGAACTTTCTAGACCGTAACTACACTGAATAATGAGAATCTGCTGTAATCTTTTTAGGTGCTGTAGATGAGCCATTGGATTAAATTATTACAGTATGTTTCAGACTGCTGTATGTTGAACCCTAGTGAAATGCCTCTCAAACCCTCATAAGGATCACAATCTCATGTCCTTTGTTTTGTTATTAAATGCCCAGTATGTGTTAGCGATTTAAACAAAATTCAAATATAATTTTATTTTTTTGAGACAGAGTCTCGCTCTGTCACCTAAGCTGGAGAGTGCAGTGGCATGATCTCGGCTCACTACAACCTCTGCCTCCCGGGTTCAAGCGATTCTCCTGCCTCAGCATCCTGAGTAGCTGGGATTACAGGTGCCCGCCACCACGCTGGACTAATTTTTGTATTTTTAGTAGAGACGGGGTTTCGCCAGGTTGTCCAGGCTGGTCTGGAACTCCTGACCTCATGTGACCTGCCTGCCTTGGCCTCCTAAAGTGCTGGGATTATAGGCGTGAGCCACCATGCCCGGCGTTGACTTTTTAATAATAACCATTCTGACTGGTGTGAGATGGTATGCCATTGTGGTTTTGATTTGCATTTCTCTAATGATCAGTGATATTGAGCTTTTTTTCATATGCTGGTTGGCCGCATGTGTGTCTTCTTTTGAAGTGTCTGTTTATGTCCTTTGCCCACTTTCTAATGAGATTTTTTTTTCTTGTAAATTTGTTTAAGTTCCTTATCAGTGTTGGACATTAGATCTTTGTCACGTGCATTGTTGCAAAAATTTTCTCCCATTCTGTAGGTTGTCTGTTCACTCTGTTGATAGTTTCTTTTGCTGTGCAGAAGCTTCAAGAAGAAAGGAATCCGATTGGTTCTGTGTCTATCTCTTTTGGTATTCTCAGACTTATGTAGTCACCCATATAGAAAGATGATTAGGAAAATAGGACAAGAATAGCAGAAATCTACATAAAAATGTAGGAAATTAAAATTAGTTACCAGCATACAAAAAACTACTATATGTTATAATTACATACTATAACTCACCCCTCCTTGCCAAATATTCTCTCTCTTTTGACTTCAAAATCATGGCTTATATGTACTTTCTCTATTTCCCAGATGCAAATATAATTAATTGACTTTATTTATCTAGGAAATGTTACTGATATCTTAATTGTAGTCATTGGCTTGAGTGACGGGTTTTGGTAATTCAACTACTATTACTTGAAAGTGGTAGATTTCATAGGATACTGTTATAAAATCTTTTTAACCTCTTTTCTGATTTCAGGAGTAATTGGTAATTGTGGTTTACTGGAAAATTCAATGAATAGGGTGTTAAAGGAAGCAATTCATTAATAATATATCTAATCTATTGGGAGACTGAGGCGGTTGGATCACCTGAGTTCAGGAGTTCGAGACCAGCCTGGCCAACATGGCAAAACTCCGTCTCTACTAAAAATACAAAAATTCGCCGGGCATGGTGGTGCATTCCTGTATTCCCAGGTACTCGGAAGGCTGAGGCAGGAGAATCACCTGAACTCCAGAGGTGGAGTTTGCAGTGAGTCAGGATCGCAGCACTACACTCCAGCCTGGGTGACAGAGTGAGACTCCATCTCAAAAAAAAAAAAAAATTAAATTAAAAAAAAGCGGGCCGGGAGCATTGGTTCAGGGCTGGGCACAGTGGCTCAAGCCTGTAATCCCAGCACTTTGGGAGGCTGAGGCAGGCAGATCACGAGGTCAGGAGATCAAGACCATCCTGGCTAATGTGGTGAAACCCCGTCTCTACTAAAAATACAAAAATTAGCTGGATGTGGTGGCAGGTGTCTGTAATCCCAGCTATTCCAGAAGCTGAGGCAGGAGAATCACTTGAACCTGGGAGGCAGAGGTTTCAGTGAGTCCAGATCATGCCACTGCCCTCCAGCCTGGGTGACAGAGCGAGATTCTATCTCAAAAAAAAAAAAAAAAAAAAAAAAAAAGCAACAGAAGCAAATGAGGGTGCCTGGAAGTGGTCATTGTGGGGCATTCCCGTTTGTGTGACCCAGGTCATGTCCCTCCCTAAGCCCTGGTCTCTCTTGCCTCCTGCAGGGCTAGTGAATTACCAGATCTCCGTCAAGTGCAGTAACCAGTTCAAGTTGGAAGTGTATCTTTTGAATGCAGAAAACAAGGTCGTGGACAACCAGGCTGGGACCCAGGGCCAGCTGAAGGTGCTGGGTACCAACCTCTGGTGGCCGTACCTGATGCACGAACACCCCGCCTACCTGTACTCGTGGGAGGTAATGGTGGTTTGGGACTTGCTTAAGGGAGGTCTTTTGCCCCCATCTGGTAGCCCTGGCTTCAGCAGGATCCCAGGATAGGTGAACGGGCAGGTGTGGTCCTCTGAGCTTTCTGATGTTTCCCACCCTTGGTGGGAGGCCCAGATTTTTTATTTATTTATTTACTTATATTTATTTATTTATTTATTTATTTATTTATTTATTTATTTATTTTCTGTGATGGTCTCACTCTGTCACCCAGGCTGGAATGCAATGGCCTGATCACAGCTCACTGCAGCTTTGAGCTGCAATCCTCCTACCTTGGCCTCCTGAGTAGCTGGGACTACAGGCACATGCCACCATGCCTGGCTAATTAAAAAAAATTTTTTTGTAGGCCGGGCATGGTGGCTCACGCCTGTAATCCCAGCACTTCGGGAGGCTGATGCGGGCGGGTCACTTTAGGCCAGGAGTTGGAGACCAGCCTGGCCAACATGGTGAAACCCCGTCTCTACTAAAATACGAAAATTTGCAGGGCATGATGGTGCACGTCTGTAATCCCAGCTACTCGGGAGGCTGAGGCAGGGTAATTGCTTGAACCCAGGAGGCAGGGGCTGTGGTGAATTGAGATCATGCCACTGCACTCTATCCTGGGTGACAGAGTGAGACTGTCTCAAAAAACAATCCTTTTTATAGAGTTGGGGTCTTACTCTGTTGTCCAGGCTGGTCTTGAACTCCTGAACTCAAGTGATCCTCCTGCCTTAGCCTCCCAAAGTGTAGGGATTCCAGGCATGAGCCATCTCGTCTGGTCAAGGAGAAGGCCCGATTTTGAAGGGCAGGTCCCAGGGTCAGCCAGTGAAGGGCAGAGCCTCTGATTGCTGCTTCTCTGCAGGCCCAGAGGTGACTGCTGGGGTGCATGCACGAGGGGTCTTCCTGCTGTAGGGCAGGCCAGATGGGGCTCAGGCTGTCGGGGCGCTCACACCTGGCACTTTGGCTGTCGTAGGTGTGGCTGACTGCACAGAAGTCACTGGGGCCTTTGACTTCTACACACTCCCTGTGGGGCTCCGCACTGTGGCCGTCACCGAGAGCCAGTTCCTCATCAGTGGGAAACCTTTCTATTTCCACGGCGTCAACAAGCATGAGGATGCGGACGTGCGTTGGGGCTCCTGGGTCCTCGTGGGGGCTGCTTCTGGTCACCTTCCACTTTAGCCTTCCCTGTGTCCTGCAGTTGAGGGCAGCTCAAGGCAATGAGGCAAATGGCTCCAAACCACCCCATGGTGGAGCCGGTGCTTGGGCTGGAGAGGGGACCTCATGGGGTGGTTCTCCAGGGTCCTGGCTCTCAGAGGAAGTGCCGCTTCGACAGGGACAGGGGTCACTCGGCTCTGCTGTCCCCTAGATCCAAGGGAAGGGCTTCAACTGTCCGCTGCTGGTGAAGGACTTCAACCTGCTTTGCTGGCTTGGCGCCAACACCTTCTGCACCAGCCACTATCCCTACACAGAGGAGATGCTGCAGATATGTTACCGGTATGGGATTGTGGTCATCGATGAGTGTCCTGCTGTGGGCCTGATGCTGCCATGAGTCCCTGCTGTGCACCCGCTCTGCCTGGCCAGCCCTCGGGCCACACCGTGACCCTCTGTCCCTTCCCTCCTGGCCCGCTGGCAACTCTTCAACAACGTGTCTATGCATCACCATATGTGGGTGGTGGAGGAACCGGTGCTCAGAGACAAGAACCACCCCGCCATGGTGATGTGGTCCTTGGCCAAAGAGCCTGCGTCCTTCCTGGAATCTGCCGGCTACTCCTTCAAGTGAGTGCCCGCTGCCTGCCCTGGGCTGGATCAGGCAGGAGACCCTGGCAGATGGCAGACTGTGGTGGACGTGTGCTATCCGAGATCAGCATCCTGTCCCAGCCCAATGGGAGGGCCGTCCATACCCAGACGGTTCAGGGAACTAAATATCTACCCACCCAAATTGTAGTTTTCTTTTTCTATTTTTTTGAGATGGAGTTTCGCTCTGTCGCTCAGGCTGGAGTGCAGTGGCACGATCTCAGCTCACTACAACCTCAGCCTCCTGGGTTCAAGTGATTCTTCTGCCTCAGCCTCCTGAGTAGCTGGGATTACAGGCACAAATGAGCCACTGTGCTTGGCCTGTTTTTTTTTTGAAACAGGGTCTCACTCTGCTTGCCCAGGCTGGAGTACAGTGGCACGATCTCAGTGCACTGCAGCCTCGACTTCCCAGGCTCAGGTCATCTTTCTGCCTCAGCCTCCCAAGTAGCTGGGATTATAGATGTGTGCCACCATGCCCAGCTAACTTTTGCTTTTTTTTTTTTTTTTTGATGAAGTCTTGCTCTGTTGCCCACACTGGAGTGCAGTGGTGCGATCTCGGCTCACTGCAACCTTCACTTCCCAGGTTCAAGCGATTCTCCTGCCTCAGCCTCCTAAGTAGGTGGGACTACAGGTGTGTGCCACCATGCCTGGCTAATTTTTGTATTTCTAGTAGAGACAGGGTTTCACCATGTTGGCCAGGATGGTCTCCATCTCTTGACCTTGTGAGCCACCCACCTCGATCTCCCAAAGTTCTGGGATTACAGGCGTGAGCCACCGTGCCCGGCCAACTTTTGCATTTTTTGTAGAGACAGGGTTTCACCATGTTGGCCAGGCTGGTCTCAGACTCCTGACCTCAGGTGATCCTCCTGCCTCGGCCTTCCAAAGGGCTGGGGTTACAGGCATGTGCCACCGCACTCAGCCGCAGCCAGTCTGTTTTCAAAGATGGTCTTTGGGTTAATGACAATTCTCTCTCTGCTTACTCTCCAGGCAGTGTGGCTTTCTGAATCCAAGGAGGCTGGGAATAGGGAGATGGGATTTGTTTTGCTTAGTTTGGACTCAGCATTTTTTGTACTCGATTTAATAGACTCATAAAATGTCAAAGGTTTAAGTGAGCTTAGAGTTCATCTGGCCCAAACCTGGCTGATCAGAATCTCCAGGGGAAGTTTTTTTTGAAATGCCAGATCTCTGCATTCTGAGATCCTGATTTAGTAACTCCAGGGTTGGAACCTGAGTTTTTTTTTTTTTTTTTTTTTTGTGAAGGCAGGGTCTTACTCTGTTGCTCTGGCTGGAGTGCAGTGGTGTGATCACAGCTCACTGCAGCCTTGAATTCCTGGGCCTAAGCAACCCTCTTGCCTCAGCCTTCCAAGTAGCTGGGACTCCAGGTGTACACCACTGTGCCCGGCTAATTTTAAATGTTTTTGTAGAGATGGGATCTCACTGTGTTGCCCAGGCCAGTCTCAAACTCTTGAGCTCAAGTGATCCTCCTGCCTTAGCCTCCTAAAGTGCTGGGATTACAGGCATGAGCCACCGTGCCTGGCTGATACTAGCATTCTTTTTTTTTTTTTTTTTTTTTTTTTTAAAGATAGAGTCTTGCTCTGTTGCCCAGGCTGGAGTGCAGTGGCACAGTCTCAGCTCACTGCAACCTCCGCCTCCCAGGTTCAAGCAATTCTCCTGCCTCAGCCTCCCAAGTAGCTGGGATAACAGGCACATGCCACCATGCCTGCGCTTGGTCGTGGGAGGCAGAGGTTGCACTATTGTGCCACTCCATTCTAGCCTGGGCAACAGGGCGAGACTCTGTCTTCCAAACAAAGCGAGAAAAGATTATCTGCGAGAATGACTGCATTGGCTCCTTGGGTGGGAGCGCTTCTCCAGGGCAAGGTGAGGGGATGCCCAGTGCTGGGAGTGCTGCCTGGAGAGGAGTCAGTTCCAGTGGCGGGGGCCCTGGGTTTTGGCTGAGGACTACGTGTTGGCAGCTGCTCTGCCTCTCACAGCCCTTCCCAGCTGCACACGTCGTGAGCGTCAGTGTGCAATCACAGGCCTGCCTCCTTTGGGCCACTTTGTGACCATGTTTTTTGCTTGTGGGGCAGGGTAATTTCAGGATCTAAATTGGTGCAGTTGGATGTTCTCAGCCCCGAGAGGCAGCTCTTCCCGTTCTAGGCTTTTTGTTTTGTTTTGTAGAAATGGAGTCCTATGATGTTGCCCAGGCTGGTCTCAAACTCCTGGGCTCAAGTGATCTTATTTGTGCATTATAAGATTTTCTGAAATGCTCAAAAAAATGCAATGCTCATCACAAAATCAGAAGTAAGTTCAGGGACAACATATAATCTTCAGATCAAACAGGACTTTCCTCAACTAAGAAAATTGGAGTGTAATATTAAACGCTAAATGATTTTGATGTTTTAAATATTATTTCTTAAAAACTAACATTTCTTTTTCCGATTAACGTAAAAAGAAGTTTAAACTATCAAAGCACAAGTACCCAGATGTCTATTTAATGCACATAAAGACTTTTTGTACATAAAAAGAACGCATGGGATGATTTATACTGGCTTTTAAACTTTATATATAATAATAATTGAGAAAAACTTTATTTGGCATCATGATGTCAGAGACAGTGAAAACAAACAAACAAAAAAAATCAGATCTCTGAACAATTTAACTTGTGGAAATTTCTTCTTCCTTAAATATAGTTATAACGAGTCTTTTCAGAGTCATTCAGTAATGATCATTCAATATGATCATTATTACTGTATTTTAATGTTGTGTTAGTTTTCGTCATGATCAAACAGACTGATGGTCAGTTAATACCCAAGATGATAGTAACGTTGAGAACCTTCTTATTTCACCGTGAACTCACCCAAAATGCAAATAAAATGGGTCACAGAGAAATACCTAACCTGAGAAATGTTTGCACTTTAAAGACATATGTAGCTTATGAAGGTGATGATTTTACTTGCACATTTTTTCCTAACAGGCACTGCTTTCACAGCTTTGAGCATCTTAAAGGACTTTCTTTACATTCTGAACTTCTGGGAATCCTTAGTTATTTGTATTGCAAATAACTCCATTTTTAACAAGTCACAAAAGAGCCATTAATATGCAATATTATAGTATCCCCTGACAGGTTTAAACCCCCAAACAGACCTCAACTGTAAATAATTTTATATACATTATTTTGGTTTTCTTCCCCTCATCTTCACATTTCATCTTTTTTACTGACACTTTTATCTTAGATTTGGAGTCCAGCCTTCCACACCTGATCTTATACACCAGCCTCGCTTTACATCATGCTGCAAAATCCTCAGGTAATTAACATCATTTTTTCAATGATTTGACCCTCTCTGATATTTCTCAGACATACTTCCAATGATCCTGAAATAATGTCTCCTCTCTGACCAGTTATACACGATTAAAATACTAAAATTATTTTCTGTGGAAATCTCAGAAGCCTATTTCATTTTTTAAATAAACTGCCTATTTCTTTAAGAAAACATGTTTAGAAAACTTCTATCTGAGACGTTAAGACAGCCTGCTTTAGGTGTATCAGGTTTTGAAAGTTAGAAAATTTGATGTGTCCTCTGTGTAAAAAAACAAAAAGGCAAAATTGCAATTGTCACATTAAGTCCAAACATTACTATATAAATCACAATGAATAGCCAATTTTATAAAATTACAAATTTTGAACACCAGAAATATTTTTAAAATCATATTTTCACCATTTAACTTTCTCACCAACCTCTGTAATACATTTTCTTACATTTTGTTTGTATTTTTTCTGATTACCATGTCATATGATGACAATTGTGTAATAGCATTGTCTCTACAAAAATACAAAATTGTAATTCAGTCTTTCTTCTAGCATGGTTGATGAAGACCTTTATTATTAGTTAATGTTTAGAAAGGTTTCTTTCAGCTTCAATCTTGTTATTGGAAATGCTATGCAAATTCTAGGATTGTTTCTAAATTTGTCAAAATCTCTTTTTAGTTTCTTTTAGTATAAACTTTAAGATTTCAAAACTTATTTACTTTGTACTTCCTTTTGCAGTGTGTTGTCTTAAATAATTTTTGGCATGACCACCGTTTGTTGATTAAATTCTTGTTAATGTTTTTGTTTGTTTCATCATCATCAGCGGCATTTTGTGGTATTCAACCAGAAAATAAGGCTCTGTAAAAATGTAACTGGACAATTCATTATAAGATGAAGGAGACATGTAGGTGCTCAGGCATAGCTAAGTAGAGAAAAATAGTGAGGTTAAAAAGTATGGGTGAGATAGAAGTGGGCAATTAGAATGAAAATATATGTAGAGCCAGACAAAAAGATGGCTCATAGTGACAAATTCTGGACATAAGTAAGAATCAACTAGAATATATATATATATATTAAACAAAGTCTCACTCTGTCTCTGCTCCAGGCTGGAATGAAGTGACATGATCATAGCTTACTGCATTCTGGAATTCCTAGGCCCAATACATCCTTCTGCATCAGCTTCCTGAGTAGCTGGGACTACAGGCAATGCCACTGTGCCTGGCTTATTTATTTATTTATTTACTTTGTTTGTAGAGATGTGGTGTGGGGGGCGGTGTCCCATCTTCTTACCCAGGCTGGTCTTGAACTCCCGCCTTCAAGTTTTCCTCCCACCTGCTGGGATTCAAGTGATCCTCCCACCTGCCTCCCAAAATGCTGGGATTACAGCCCTGAGCCTCTGTGCCTGGCCCAGCTAGAATGGTTTTAAATTAAAAGTCCTGTTGATGGATCACTAAACATGAGACAGATAATTTTGTATATTGTTAAGATCATTAGCATTAATTTCAAACAAATTGATGCTTGAATATTAGTGCTGCCCTTATTAGCCTGTGAAACCTTATTAGCAATTACTGAACACAGAAGTAACAGCAGTATGACACACATGTGCACTACATCTAAACTAATTCTAGCGCTAACTTTTTTTCCTGTCAGTTGGGTTCCCAAAACACCTTTGCCTACACCAAATCCCCCCCCTACTAAATAAAACTAGGCAAAGTTAAACAGGTAAGGAAGGCTTATTCATGGATCTTGCAATTGGGGGAAAGACTAGAATGTAGTCTGAACTCAATTCCCTTGAAACAAAAGGGCAGGAGAGTTTTTAAGAGCTGAGGTGGGAAAGAACATACGCCATCTGTGTTTGCTAATTGTCCTGACCTAAAAGAAAAGCAAACTTTCTAATTTCTTCACGACAGAAAGTAGTTTCACAACCTGAAGCAAAGTGTCCACCAAAGTTAGTTTCCCTGCCACAGAGAATGAGAGATAGGCATGTCTATCTTCCTTGATGATGACATTTCAAAGAGATGGCTCCCAGGCCCTTAAGAAAAAAATCATTCCTGGGTTGTAAAACTGGCAGTCTTTTAAAAAGATTTACATCTCAAATGGGTTGGGAAAAAATTTACAATGACAATTTTTTTTTTAAGTCATTGCTACAAGAAAAGTGAGATTGGAAGGTTAGTGAGGAAGCCTGTCTAAAGTTTATTTAAACTCAGGGGAATTAAAACTGTCTTGGCCACAACTAACATAAGGAGAACTGGAAAGAAAGAGGAGTCTGAGAGGAAAGACAGTGAACTTTTACACCTTTTACAGAAGTTTGTGCCCATGACAACACCCTAATCATTTGTAGGGACCTGATTAAATGAAGAATACTGGTTTAAATTTCTTTCACTTCCCAATATATCTACCACTGTAAAAGTACATGGGACATTAAATTAGACAGAGCCAAGCAGAAATCCCAGCTCTGTCATTTATAAAACATTTTCTTGGCATATGCTTGTTCTTTCTTCACCCCTCATTCTTTATATCAACCGAGCAGCCAGATCTGAAAATTAGGCCTCCCAAAGGTTTTTCTATTCTTCTCTTCCATATTCACAGATATCATATGGTTCAGAACGTCATGATCTTTCACATAGAATAACGTTGACACCACCTAATGAGCTGCCACACTTCTGTTGCTCTCATATAATCCTCACACAATAGCCACAATCATCTTTCAAAAATTTAAACAAAGTCTATCATTTACCTGCATACAACTTTAAGAATATCCCCATTTCACTTCGAAATAAATCTGCCTCTTTCCTGTAGTCTACAATGGCTCAAGTTTTCTCTTTCATTTATTGTATTCCAGAAACACTGGCTGTCTTTCATGCCTTGAGCATGTTAAACTTTATCTTATCAGGGCTTTTTCACAGGCTAATTCCTCTCTTAAAACTGAGCATTGTCTGTATTTTCAATCACTCTCAATATAATACAGAGAACCATGTAAACTTACTCTGGTTACTAGTGAGGTTAAATAACTTTTCATGTGTGTATTGATCATCTTGAATTCTTTTTCATATGCATTTTTCACTCAAATTTTTTGCTTAGTGTTGCTATTGTGCAAAATCACTTTTAAAGGCTTTTGTATAAGGTTATAGAAACGTTTTTACATATATTGCAGACATGTAAAAAGTTTTTATTATGTTTTATTCATTGTTTAAAATGGAGTTTTGTGCTTATTTCATTTTTAAAAATTTAAATATTAATTCCATCTTTCTGTATAGTTGGTAGTGTATTATTTTTAACTGTCATTTCATTTCTGAACTAAAAAGGAAGATATGCCTTAGTCTACTCAGGAATTTCTCAAATTTCAGTACTGAATTTTTTGACATATCAATTATTAACAACAATCTATCAACTTAATACCCAGCATTTCATACTTGTGAATTTTTAGAGTAGTCTAAAACATCCCTGTGTCTTCTCATATTAGTAAACTTTCAAACTCTTTCTTAGGTTTTAAGTTTTCACATAATGAATCTTGCAGGAAAATAAAACTAATCTCTTGGTTCACTATTTCACTGAAAAGACTGAACACTTTTGGTGCATCACATACCCTTTTAGTTGCTGGGAATAACGCAGTGAAAACAGACAAAACAGAAAAATAATTTATGTCTTGGTAAGCCTTCTAACAAGTGAGTAAACAGAAAAAAATACGTGAATTTTTTTAAAGATATATATATATATTTTAAAATATATGTATTTTAAAATATATATATATATATAGACAGATAATATGTACACATAGGCTTAAAAGAAGGCTAGTGCAACAATAAAAGTAAGAATAGTTCACTATAATGAGATCAATGAGGATGGAGAGGAGTTTTCAGAATGTGGGGTCAACAGGATTTGCTGAAAGATTTGACTGGATTACATGTAGAAGAATCTAGAATGACACAAACGTTTTAAACTAAGAACTTGAAAATACAGAGATGCCACTTATTGAAATGGGGAATATTTTAAGTGAAACAGGCTTGGTTAAGGGAAAGATCAGGACTTTGATTCAGACCTTTGAATTTTGAGATACTGCTCTATGGTTATGTGGAAATGCTGATCAGGCAGCTGGATATAGAAGCTCATGGGGGATATTTAGGCTGAATATATAATTCCAAAAGCTATCACCATATAGATGATATGTATGCCACATGCTGGTGTGAAATCACCAAGGTAATTATGCAGACTGATACTCTGGGATTTCTATGTCTACTTGAAAGGGAGAAAGAATTAGTGGTGGAATTGTGAAGATAACCAGTGGCAGAAAAGAAAAACCAGAGAGTATAGTGTCCTAGAAGTCAAGTAAATAAAGTATATCAGTGATAAAACAGTAATCAACGCTATCAAATTCTGCCGATATATAGCAAATTTTGAGAATTTATCAAGCATTTAGCAAATGGAGGTTATTGGGTACATCGCCGACAGCAGTTGCAGTAAAATAGCAGGGAAAAATTTTGTTTGTGCAATATTCAAGAGAGAATGGAAGAATAGAAATTGGAGACTAAAAGTCTCTTTCAAAGGAGTGTGATTTAAAAGCGCAGAATAATGTAGTTGGTCTGTAGAACGAATAGAAGGTCAAGGGAAATTTGTTTCAAATAAATTACATGTGGTATTGCTGGCTGGTTTGATTCAGTAGAGATTTAAAAAATAGGTGATCCAGATAAATATTGAGGAATGTCTGAGAAAGGGATGGAATCCAGTGTATAATCAAGGAGTTAGACTCCTTAGTAACAAGAGGAAAGAAAGGCTGAGCATATGGGATTAGCAGCATGTAAGTGAGTAGAAGTAGTTCTTATGTTCTCTTGCAGTTGTCCTATTTTTTTCAGAAATATAATAAGAAAAATCATTAACTGAGAGTTAGAATGGAGAGATATTATTGGTGTTTTCTAAGAAAAGAATAAGATAAGAAATACTAGACTAGGAAATGAAGCAATAGAAATATAATAATTTTGCTGGACTACACTAGACAACAATTCAGCACTTACATATTTATTCAACAAATGTTTATTGTGCCTCTTCTGAATTCTAAATGCTCCTGTAGGCACTTGTGATATAACAGTAAACAAAAGAGATTCTTGATGTTATAGAGCCTAGGTTAGTGGTTATAAATTTTAAATGAGACCAACTGTAATTTTCTTCAGATAGGTTCTGTTTGGGAGGTTTATTCAAGTAGAAAGGATATAGAATTAACCAGAATTGAGATTGTGCCAGACAGTGACATGGAATGAGGGTAAACGGAAAAGAGTGATTTTAATCATGTCATGGAGTTGTAGCTGTTAGAAAGTGAAGATTTTAATGTGTGAGATACAACAACCTCAGCAGTATTATGGCAGATTCTGATAAAAGTCAAAAGATTTCTCAATCTGAAGCATTAGAGGAACTAGGCTAGAATAAAGTGGTACTTTTTAAATAATTGGATTCTTGAGTTTGAGATTACAATAATAACAATAATTGATAATGTGAATCACAGAGATTCTTGATTTTTTGTGAATTATAACAAATTAAAGCAGGTCACAAAACCCCAGTATGGGTCCTGAGGTTTCATATTTTTAGCTGCTCCACAGATGACTCAAATTTACAATCAGAGTAGAAAACCTATGGTAGGATTATGATCATGAGAATGAATGGCTAAAGTAGGATAGAAGTCAAAAATCACTGGAGGATCTGAGAAACCAGAGAAAGAATAAGCTATGTTCAGCCAGGACTTTAAAAGTGCCAAGATTTATAGCAGCACTAGTGTTGGAGAGTGATGGTGATCCAAGAACTCTACAGGAGAGTGATTCTAAAGTGGATATTTAGTAAATATATAGTTGATGGCATGTGATTCAAAGCTGAGTGGTTTTGTTTTTGTTTTTGAGAGAAAATGGCTTTGAAATATCAATAAGGAATTTAAAGATTATTTTATCTACTGCCATCCCAGAGGTTTGAGGTATGTGGGCAGATAAAATCAAACAAACAATAATGATAATAATAACAAAAATACACGCCATAAGGAGGCTGCAGGAGAAATAATGCATCACCTCAAGGAAGAGCCAAAACCTTTTCTTTTTTTAAACTGATGACATTTCATAAGTTCTAGGAGGCACTCGGCGGCATTCCAGAATTTAGGGAATGTGAGAGTGTGGTCAGAAAACAGATTGTTCAGAGCCAAATGAAGATGGGAGATGGAATGAGAGCCTGAACCTCTTACGGTAACAGATATGTACAGGGCTAAAAGGGCAGAATTGTTCCTGGTGTCAGCCACTTACAAATATGAATAAACTGTTGTGTTTTGTTTTTAAATAATAAGCAGACGCCCTAGAAGATCTGATTTTTATATTAAAGCTTAACAAACTAATTAAATTAAAATTTAAAGTGATTACTGTAAACAAATTACGTGGAGATTTAGATAGCTAGTGTCCTAAAATTATGCATTTAAACTGTTTTCCCTGAGCCATAACCTGTCAGGCAAGTAATCCAGTGGTTTCTGTAATTGGTTCAAGCTCTGATAGAGACTTCAGGCTCTTTTCTGTTAACAAAGATAATATTATCATTTCTCCTCCATGAGTAAAGCAGCCTTTGTTGTCAGTGTTAAACAGTAACTGTGACATATAAATCCTCCCCTGTGCTACACATTGGCCGGAGTAGTGATGAGGAAGATAGTCTTCAGTGTCTCAAATACATGGATTTAAATTCTACCTCTGCTACTCCCTAACCAAGTGACCATGAGCAAATGACTCATTGTCTCTGGTCTTCACCTTCTTTGTTTATAAAAATGGGTCATCCTGTTGATAATTTCTTTTGCTGTACAGAAGCTCTTGAGTTTAATTATATCCCATTTGCCAATTTGTGCCTTTGTTGTGTTTGTTTTTGGCATCTTCATCATGAAATCTTTGCCTGTGCCTATGTCCAGAATGGTATTGCATAGGTTGTCTTCCAGGGTTTTTATAGTTTTAGGTTTTGCATTTAAGATTTTAATCCATCTTGAGCTGATTTTTGTATATGGTATAAGAAAAGGGTCCAGTTTCAATCTTCTGCATATGGCAAGCTAGTTCTCCTAGCACCATTTATTGAATTAGGAGTCCTTTCACCACTGCTTGTTTTGGTCAGCCTTGTCAAAGATCAGGAGGTCAGAGGTGTGAGATCTTATTTCAGGCCTCTCTATTCTGTTCTATTGGTCTATGTGTCTGTTTTTGTACCAGTACCATGCTGTTTTCATTACAGTTGCCCTGTAGTATAGTTAGGATAATGTGATGACTCCAGCTTTGTTAGTTTTGCTCAGCATTGCCTTGGCTATTAAGGCTTTTTGGGGGCTGCATATGAAATTTAAAATAGTTTTTTTTCTAATTCTGCGAAGAATGCCATTGGTAGTTGATAGGAGTAGCATTAAATCTGTAAATTACTTTGGGCAGTACAGCCATTATAATTATATTAATTCTTTCTGTCCATGAACATGGATGGTATTTCCATTTGTTTGTGTCATCTCTGATTTCTTTGAGCAGTGTTTTATCATTCTCATTGTAGAGATCTTTCACCTCTCTGGTTAGCTGTATTCCTAGGTATTTTATTCTTTTCGTGGCAATTGTGAATGGGATTGTGTTCTTGATTTGGCTCTTAGCTTGGCTGTTTTGGTATATAGAAATGGTAGTAATTTTTGTACATTGATTTTGCCTCCTGAAACTTTGCTGAAGTTGTATATCAGCTGAAGGAGCTTTGGGGTCAAGACTCTGTGGTTTTCTAGGTATAGATTCATATCTACAAACAGGGATAGTTTCAACTCCTCTCTTCCTGTCTGAATGTCCTTTACTTCTTTCTCTCAACAGATTGCTCTGGCCAGGACTTCCAATATTATGCTTGAATAGGAGTAGTGAGAAAGGGCATAATTGTCTTGTGCCAGTTTTCAAAACGAATGTTTCTAGTTTTTTTTCCATTCAGTATGATGTTGACTGTTGGTTTGTCATAGATGGCTCTTATTGTTTTGAGACATGTTTCTTCAATACCTAGTTATTGAGAATTTGTAACATAAAGGGGTGTTGAATTTTATCAAAAGTTTTTTTTTCTGCATCTATTGAGATAATAATATGGTTTCTGTCTTTAGTTCCATTTATGTGATGAATTACATTGCTTGATTTGTGTATGTTGAACCAGCCTTGCATGCTGGCAATGAAGCCTATTTGATCATGGTGAGTTAGATTTTGATATGCTGCTGGATTCAGTTTGCAAGTATTTTATTGAGGATTTTTTCATCAATGTTCATCAAGAATATTGTCTACAAGTTTTCTTTTTAGTTATGTTTCTACCAGGTTTTGGTATCAGGATGATTCTGGTCTCATAAAATGAGTTAGGGAAGAGATCTTCCTCCTTAATCGTTTCGAATAGTTTCAGTAGAAATAGTATACAGACAACCTACAGAATGGGAAAAATATTTGCAAACTGCATTTGACAAAGGTCTAATATCCAGTATCTATAAGGAACTTAAATTTACCAGAAAATACAAAGAACCCTCTAAAATGTGGGCAATGGACATGAACAAACACTTTTCAAAAGAAGACATACATGCGACCAACAAGCATATGAAAAAAAGCTTAATATCACTTATCACTGGATAAATGCATATCAAAATCACCATGAGATCCCATCTCACACAGTCAAAATGGCTATTTTTAAACTTTTATTTTAAGTTCAGGGGTAACTGTGAAGGTTTGTTACATAGGTAAACTTGCATTATGGTGTGTTTTTGTTATACAGATAATTTCATCACCCAGGTATTAAGCCTAGTACTCATTAGTTATTTTTCCTGATTCTCTCCCTCCTCCCACTCTCCACCCCCTAATAGGCTCCAGTATATTTGTTCCCCTCTATGTGTACATGTGTTCTCATCATTTAGCTCCCACTTATAAGTGAGAACATGTGGTTTTCTGTTCCTGCATCAGTTTGCTAAGGATGATGGCATCCAGCTCTATTCATGTTTACACACACACACACACACAAATTATGTCATTCTTTGTATGGCTGTGTAGTATTCATGGTGTATATGTGACACTATTGCTTTATCCAGACTATCATTGATGGGCAGGTAGGTTGATTCCATGTCATTGCTATTGTGAATAGTGCTGCAATGAACATACATGTAGATGCGTTTTTATAATTCAATGATTTCTATTCCTTTTTGTATATACCCAGTAATGATATTGCTGGATTGAATGATATTTCCATCTTTAGTCTTTTGAGGAGTTGCCATATTGTCTTCCTTAATGGTTGAACTAATTTATTATCCCACCAACAGTGTGTAAGTGTTCATTTTTGTCCACAATGTTACCAGCATCTGTTTTTTTGACTTTTTCATGCAGAATGGTTATTATTAAATAGTCAAAAAATAACAGACGCTGATGAGGTTGCAGAGAAAAAGGAATGCTTATACACTATTGGTGGGAGTGTAAATTAGGTCAACCATTGTGGAAAGCAGTGTGGTGATTCCTCAAATAGCTAATAACAGAACTACCATTTGACCCAGCTATCCCATTATTGTATACATACCCAGGGGAATATAAATTATTCAACCATAGTGACACATGGACGTGAATGTTCATTGCAGCACTGTTCACAATAGCAGAGACATGGAATCAACCTAAATGCCCATCAATGACAGATTGGATACAGAAAATGTGGTACATATACACTATGGAATACTATGTAGCCATAAGAAAGAATGAGATTATGTTTTTTGTGGGAACCTAGATGGAAATGGAGGCCATTAGGGTTAGAAAACTAATGTAGGAACAGAAAACCAAAGACCAAATGTTCTGTCATAAGTGGGAGCTAAATGATGAGAACTCAAGGACACAAAGAGAGCAAAAACAGACACTGGGTCCTAGTTGAGGGTGAAAGGTGAGAGGAGGGACAGGAGAAAAAAAATTATTGGGTACTAGGCTTAGTACCTGGGTGATGAAATAATCTGTACAACAAACCCCCAATACACAAGTTTACCTATATATAAAACCTGCACATGTACTCCTGAACCTAAAAAAAAATAAAACCCAAATGGGTAACTATAATACTTATTGAATGTTGAGATTATGAAAATGAAAAAAAAATCCATGTAAAAGTGAATACTCAGCATGCACTACCTATTTAATAAATGTTGTCACCTTTCTTATCTCTTTCTTCCCACAATACTCCTATTATGCAGATGCTATTAGAACTTTACAGATGAAGAAACTGAGGAAATACAGCTAACAAATGACAGAGCCAAGCTGGATCGCTGTCTCTTCACACTGTACTTTACTTATTTTTAGTTAGCACAGTAGCATATTACCTTCCCTCTCAAGACTGACTCACAGGTGTTGAGGACAATGAGGGCACTGGCCTAGAACTTCTCCAAGAGTCCCTTGCAAAGGAACCAAGAGTTAGCATAGGGAAAGAAGACTCTGTGTTCACTACCATATCAAACTTGGCAATAACCTAATATCCCTTTAACCCTGGTTGTTCAAAAAACCCAGAGGCACAGAGTCATACATTCCAATTAATTCCTAGGATAACCAAATACATACATACATATATCTATCTATATATATATATACACACACACACACACACACACATATATGTATATATATGTGTGTATATATATGTGTGTGTGTGTGTGTGTGTGTGTGTGTATGTGTGTGTTTCTAATGGGAGACATCTGCTAAATTCAAATAATCATCCTGGTATGATCCCTACTAAAAGTAAATAACATAGACTGATTTTTTTAAAACTATAGATTCCAAAGATTTTGTAATATGAAGAGTTACAAAGCAGCTTAGCTGCTATGGTAGACTATGGATATTTGCTTCAGCAGTAGCTGTTTTACAGAAATCTATCTGGGAGAACAAAATAAAAACAAAATTAAACTATTTTCATTCATGTTCAGCCTAACTTATCTCTTCATATGTTTAATAAAATTATTTTTAAATAAATAGGATAAGTTTCAACAGCTATATTGTCTTACATTTTCCTTTCTAAGCAGCATTCAAATTAATTCTTTTTTTTGGAATATGAAAATCTGATTCCTGCATACATTTATTTTTAGAACCAGTTCTAAAGGAATAAACAAAACTAAACAAAAACTGGTCTCTTCTGATAAATTTCACAGCTTCACTGAAAGAGAAATATCTCTCATACATAATCCAAATTTCAATTGTAATAAGTGTGTGAGTATAGTATAATGACTAAGAGCCTGTTGCTCTGACATGGAACAATCCTAAGTTGAAAGTATGACACTATCACTAATTTAAAGTCTCTTAGCTTTCATTTCTTCAGCTTTAAAATGATAATGATATAATTAACTCATAAAGTTGTTGTGATGATTAAATGGGATAATGTTTTAATATAGCAATTAACATATGATGATCACTCAATATTATTAGCCATGAGTTGTAGTAGGGGTAATAAGGTGGTTGAAAAATGTTTTCATTAACAATAGTCTTTCTGGTTTATGGCTTTAGACTGGGAAAGAATAAGTGTCCCCGCAAAACTGCAGCACAAAAGAATTTCAGATCCACCCACTCAGAAGTCTGAAGCCAGTGTGGCTCGCCCTCACTGATCTCAGGGTCTGCATTTGCAATGTAAGGTGCATTTTGTTTGTTGTAATGCTGCTACTTTGGTCTTTCTTTTTTCTATATTCATTGCTCTGAACAGAAGTAATTAAACAAAAACAAAACAAAAAATGCTAGCTTGGAGAATGCAAGACAGGTTGTGTTGTAAAAAATGCAGTCTAGAAAGCCATATCCAAAGCATTTCTAGTTTACAAAAACAAAACGTATGAATAGAGGGCATGGCCTACACCAAAGACACATTCAGTGCTTACAAATTTGGTCAGTGGCACGGAGTGTGTACACTGTCCTGGGCACAGGACTAGGCATTGTATACTGTTTACATGTTTTAATTCTAGAGGAAGGTTCTAGTGTCCTCTTAACAAAGAATGAAAATGAGATTCAGAGAGGTCAAAATGAGGAGGACCAAGGTCACACAAGGGCTGAGTAGGTATCCTAAACTGCCTCTTCTTGGCTCCAGATACCAACTCCCTTTCTCTGTGCCAAGCTACCTGAAAATTTTCTGAAAATGCTCTATGAGAGTTGTCTTTAAACAGCTGAATTTTCCATTTGAAAGATGGAAAACAGCAAAGGGAGGACATATGGTATATTTCTCATGGCAAAGGTAACATTACACTTTTTGAAAAATAGAAAAAGAAATAAACTTTAAATTATAATTACTAGGGTTTCTTACACTAATGGGAAACATCAAGTTCAGCATTTCTCACAAATGTAAATGTGTGTATGAAATTAAATAAACAAAATGTGACATTTTTGTAAGTCAAAGTTATCAAACATTGGCAGCTATCTACAATTCAATCAAAAATATATTTGAGAATCACTTTTATTCTTATTTGCAGACATTTAAAAATATTTCCAAAGTAAATTATATAGTGGGTTAATGTCTTCATTATTTGCTGTGTGACATAGTTGAAAATGTGATTATATCCCTTTAGCATAAAGAAAATAGGATACTACTTTTCATAAAGTTCAATTAAAACTTTATCTTTTTATCCAAAGAGATTTTTGATATATATGTCAGCTGTAAGATTGAAGGGAAATTAGCACAAATGAAATATTTAAGAAAGGAAGAGAATCAGGAATGTTCAGTGAGAACTGGCTAGCAGTTATAGGACATAATATAATGTTTATGAGTATATGTTGATAAAATTGTAATATTAATTAAGATATTCTCTTCTCCCCAAGTTGTGTTAATATCTTAAAATATACTTTATTATAAATGGAAAAAATGAAGGAAGTTATCAATATTATTCCACAAACTTAAAAAGTAGAACCTAATAGGAGATTGTTGAAATTTTTTACCTAAATGAATAAACAATTATTGTGCTTAGAAGTTTATCAAGAAAAACATCATAAGCTAAAAATATACCTTCATGTGATTCTGCAATAAAGAAAATGAGATGAAACACATAAGTCATTTATAGTATACATTTATTATATTATTATAAAAATTATTATCATAGTATACATTATTATAGTAGCAGTAGAAGTATCATTATTACTACTATCTTCTAGGCAGTGGGGCAGGAGCAGTAATGATCTCCGACTTTGTGTGTGTTTTAAATTAAAAGATAGTGTAGGATAGTTACCTAAATTTATTGTGTCTCTTATATTTGTGAAAATCTCAAGACAGGAACACGTTCTGTGGCACATTATCCCATTAATGGATCATTTCTTTTGGCAGCAGAATATGCTCAATTATCCTCAAACTTGATCTCCTATTACTGCTAGATAGAACATTGTGTGTTTAGAGCTTGATAAGAAATTAGACATGTAAGCAATCTATTTGCATTATCTCTTCTTCTTAATCTAATGTGTAATTTAACTCTCCTGCAGTCTCTCTCTTAAAATCCTATTGACTTTCTTAAAGGGCTGGCGATGGAAAGAGAAAAGTCCGTGTAACCAACAATTAAATCAAATGGTGGAGATCTGTATTCATCTAGTGCCTCTGAACCCTTTCAGCCCATAAAAGTCACTTTAGCAAGGGCCTGAGTTACTTTTCTTTACAAAGATTCTCAAGTATTGATTTCAAATGTAATAAGACAGAATCCAGGTGAATTCAGTCACAGCCTTAGTATATCCAGATACTTCATTTCACAGATGATAATACTTAGGAATGTAACTACAGATTTTTGAAGAGAACAGATACAAATCATCAGATCTTTTAATTTTAATTTTTTTTAAACATTGGAGTGTATGACTGAGTTTTAGCATAAATCGGTGTTATCTTACTTCACTTATTACTTACATTAAGTGGATAAAATTAAATCTTGGGAATGAAAATGTATTCCTCATATTTATATTCACCATAATGAGAAACACAATTTGTTCATCTGAGCAGCATTTTGTTCTTAATCTCTACAGATAGATTACTATGTGGCCCCTCATGTTGTTTGGGAGCCTCTACTCAGGTACCTTCAGGACCTTCATTGACAAAATTACCAAAGAACATCCCACAAGAGGCATTTATAAAAATGCATAGTGACAAGTTAACTCAGAGCTAGCAACTTAACGATGCTATTAGTGGGCTTTAAAATATTAGAGAAACATTTATACAATTCAGGATAGAGTAATATAAGTCTGGTGTTTGTATGAGAATCATTCAAAGGTCTTATTTAAAATTGAAATTGATATGATGATATTAATATGAGATCTCCATTCATCTTTAACTGACAGTCATGATAATATCTAATCAACAGAGACAATTTAATTGGGTGTGGGACACACAGTTTTAAACATAAGCATATAATTTAAATCACAATTGGGTAGAATAATGCAATAATATTCCAAATCTCTCAGGATTAATTCAGCTAGTATATGCTATAAATCTAAGAAGAAAAATATAAGTAATTCACAAATTTCAATTCCACAAAATGCAGAGAATATTTCTTAAATTTTATATAAAAGAATAAAATAATCATCAAGTAAATGAAGAATTTTAATAAAAGGCAAATAAGATATTGTGCAAAGGATATAATCCATCTTCCCAATGGTATGTATTTTAAACCTTTATTATAGTATATAATCATTTGGACATTCAAAAGCTATGTAATGAGTATCTGTACTCTAAGCATTATAAATATAGAGATGTATATGTATATTGAAGGAAGCCACAGGTCCTAAGAGTGATAAACAAGCCAGACATTATGATATTTCATGATAAGTCGCTCAGCTATTTTATATATGGGTGCTATCAGGCCACAAAAGTTGGTCATCAAACTCAATTTGAGAAAGAAATAATTCTAGAAGTATATGCTAAAAATGAGGCAGGTCAGATGATTAAGAATACAGTCTCGAGTAAAAGGGAAATATTCTTTTAACAGACAGCAGCATATATAATACAACTATTCAAATTCTATGTCTTCTTTTAGTAGAAAATGGAGGTCCAGAGTTTTGTAATTTTCATTTTATTCCTCTGATATAGTAAGATCCTTATGCACGGTTAATGTGACATACAGATTATTAAATGAATTAAATATTACATCAATTGATGTAATTTATTTGCCACAGAATGTACACATTTGCCAAAACCGAAGATACATACTGAATAAGACACAGGTTGAAAGCAGGTAAATTAAGAAATAAAGCCTGATATATGGAAGATAGAAAAGCAGAAATAAAGAAATGAAGAAGAATACTGTGCTAAATAAAACTGAGTTTTTAGAAGAGATGTCACTTTTCAGAAAAAAAATGGTTTGGAGAAACACTGAAAACTGTTTGAGTTGAAATAAGATAGAGAGAAAGAGAAATAAAATTGCAATATGATAATAAACTAGAGAGAATATAAATGTATTTCTGCTATTGGTGACAGTACTACAATAGCATCAGACCAATGTTGAGCAATTTAAATGGATATGGAAAAAGACGGGGAGTCTCAGTTACAAGATAGATCATTGTCATTAACATTAGAAAATTGACTGGAAAGCTGAAGTTTAGAATGAGCTACTCTCCTGGAAAGCCACAACATGAGAAATTAATCTGCCCAGAGTTTGAGATAAATGCTGTAACAAAAGGAAATGACAGAGAAAACATAATTAATTCCTCAGCTCCCATTTAATTTCTGACTATTCTGTCTATAAGGAAACTCATAAAGCTGTAAAGGAGAGAACAAATGGTATTTGGCAAGACTTGAGTCCTAAGAAGAATACAGAGCCCTTAGAAAAAGACACATGGATTTAAATACTCTGACTTGGGCAAATTACATTCCTACAGGATTATTACAATGTAGAGATGAGATACCTGAATTGATGCCAGTGATCTAAGGAGTGAGTAAAGAATGAGAGGTCTAAATGGAGAAAAATAATCCCGATTAAAACAAAAAGGTGTATTTGTAATACAAATTTTGATATTTCCATTATAAAGCAGAATTCCACAATGGACAATTTTAAATACTCTTCTCTTTATGGAGATTTGCAAATATGAAGAGAAGCCAGCTGGACTTTATTCTGAGGTGGTCATGGAAACAATTTTTTTAACTCTTTTACCCACTCACCTCTCTGCTCAGCAATATTTATTTGTGCTAACAAGGGTAAAGAATTTAAAACTTCTCAAAATACAAAATTGTAATTCATGTGAAATTCCACATTTGGGCTCAATAACCAATTGTAAGTATGAACAATTTTCTAGTCTTGGAGGTGAGAGTGGATATACTAAAAAGAAGAGAATTTTTGCAATGCATATTTTTTCAAAAGAGGGCCACTATAATATTGAGAAAATTTAAAACTTTGTTTATATTAGAAAATTGTTTGAGATTTAGCCCGAAGAAGAAATCTTCAGAGAAAACATGACAACTCTTCAAAAAAGTAGAGGGCTATCATGTGGAAAAGCGAGGAAATGCAAGATCTAGGAACCAACACGAAAAAAGGACATTTGGTTTATTTTGAATTGAAAAAAATACATAACCCTTAATTAAGCAATTCATGCATAAGCGAGATTACTTACTAATGATTTTTTTGGTGGTATCAATGCATAGCATACTGGTCAAGTTTAAATGACCTCTCGTTATTTTTTATTCTAAAATAATATTTTTCATATTATGTTACAATTTTATAGTTCTTTATTGCTCTCATGTTTAAAAAGGTATTTAGAGAAATAGTGACAATAAGTGGAATGATTTAAAAGGTTTTTATTGTAGATTATTGATTCAGAATTATATAATATAGGAAATATATAACCAAGGGAGCAAACGATTATCTATGGTTTTCAAAATGGATTATTTTGAGGACAAAGACTGGTTGTTCATATTTTATACGTGACAACGGGTTTAAACAATATAAAGGGTATTCTCCTAGAATAAACAGACTAATAGACTCCTATCACTTTTTAATTGTTCCATACGCTTCAGAGATAAATTGTGGCACTTTCATAACAGATGAATTTTTATGATAGTAAACTAGGTCTTTTGGATGTCTTAGGAATTCTCACCATCTATGTTTCAGATAGTATGTATTATCTGCATAGTTTCTTTGTCAGAGAAACTCCTTAAAAATCCAGAATTGCTGTGGTCTTTGAAAATTTATCTTGTGTGATATTTTCCTTTTCATTTCCTACTGCCACTGGAATATCTTCTCCATTGATAAGTAGTATTTTGCACAATTTAATTTTATGATGGTTACTGGTGCTTTGTTGATTCTTTTCTGTTAAATAAACAAAGTCACTAACTTCTATTTTTTGACATTAATTATATATGCTGAATTATCTCAATAAATAAAATTTCCATATAGTAATTTTAAGTATTTTCTAACATATTGTCTGTGCTGCTTTTGAGTGCTAGTATTAAATATTATAAATAATATTCTCAAGAATATAAAAATATTATAATATCACAAAATATAAAAATAAATTTAAAACATTTCTGTGCCTTAGTAACACTCTCCTGGCTGAATCAAGCAGAGATAATTTAGAAGTGTGTTTCTTTTGAATATTGCAAAATAGATCTTTGAATTTCTCATTCTATTAGATTCAATGTATACTATAACATTTTTCCTGGTTAAGACAAGACAGTCAATTAAGTTTTTCTTTTCTGCTATTTACTTGCTCTTCCTGCATTTGTCTATCTTTCTTTTTATCTGTTAGGATTATGTTTATTTGCACAAAACAGAAAAACATATCTTAACTCAATTGGATTTATTGGCTTACCAAATTAATTAGTCATCCAGTGTTGGTATGATAGCTTCATGATACAGGCTTTTATCTTCCTACTCAAATATCCTTAACTAGAAGGAGCAAAAAGAAAAGCCAGCTTTTTTTTCCCTCCTTCAAAATGATGTCTTGAGCTTTAACCAATAATTTCTGCTAACATTACATTGTCAATAATGCATGATGGGCCATCTCCAGCTGCAAGAATTGTTAAGAGATCAGGAAACTTATCTAGACACAATGTCAGTCCAAAAAAAATGGATATTATTAGTAAGAAGAAAGAAATAAGTGAATATTGTATTTGCAGATAAGTACCTGTCATAGAATTAAGAAACTCAAATTTCAAAGAAAGCAAGAGTATATAAAGCTAGTATTTTGAGAGACAGGCCAGAAGAAAATCTTTCCTTAGAAACTTTTCTTGTATTCAATATTTATGGTGACTATAGTAACTGCTCTTTAATTCAAAATATTTTGTTCCAGAAGATATAAAGGCATTCAGTGATATTAATTCAGCTCTTACATGAATAAAAAATTGTTGGGGAAACTCCTTAAATAATGTTCATTGTTCCAGGTCCAGTTCAGGTAAGGTAAATTGAAGATACTGTAAAATTAAGGACTGTAAAATTTTTTCAAAAGGGTCAATGTTTTATGGAATTTGTTTGACAGAAACCATTCTTTTTTTAACAGATACATGTAGACATTGTTTTATAAACTTTTTTAAAAGAACCTTCATGATGGTAACTCCACAAAATAGATTTTATGTTCGGTGTTCACTGATGCATCAAATTCCATAGTCCCTCACATCCCCATGACTTAGTCATAATTAAAATTGAAGACTTTTCTGAAAACCTATATTATCATAATATTGAAATTAATGACACCATAGAGAAAATTATAGTAGAAGGCTACCCAATGGTTCAAGGGTTGTGAACCTGTTTGACAGAATAAGTCAACATTTATATTGGAAGGTATATAACACTAAATGATATCAAATGGAGATATGAACTCTCTGACTTTTCTCTCTTTAAATATTTTACTATTGTTCACCCTTCATCTCACAAATTGACATCCCTGTAATCACAGTTCATTATTCATTCATTTAATAATTAATACTTTGGAAGCATCAGAAAAAAATTCACAATATCTTGTGATTGAATTTGATCACAAGGATTAAAAAAGAGACTGTCACTTTGATTACTGAAGATTTTGTTCAGTTATTGCCACTTGCATGCAAGTAAGCAAAAATAAAATAGTCAACAACTATTATCATTCAAAGATATTCTTAAAGATGCATATTCATTTACAAATATAAGGTAAAATTAAAATGTATTGAATTTCAAAAAATAATAATAATAAATGTCATAATTATTTAATATTTTTCTCAATATACAAACTAAGTGACATATAGGCCAAATGATGCTTAGATATTAGATTATTTTTATTCAGCAGTAATCAATTATTTTCAAATAATACTCTACATAGAAAAGTAATGCTACAGTGAGCCAAAAATATGTTACACGAGTTAAGGTCTATTTGCACACATCCTTTCAGAGACTTGAGAAAAAGGAAGCTCACCACAGACAAGAAGAAGCTATACCTATAGAAAAAAATTTCAGAGAAAATAAGAAACCAACATTTCTGAGTAAAGTATGTGTTTTAATAGTAAATATAATACCTTACTATTGATTCCATCAGCTGTTAATTTGACGATGTTTACAAATATAATGCTTGTGAAAATAAAGATGGTACAGATATTTTCCACTGAGAAGAAATCTTATTGCCATCTGCATTATGCACTTTCATAATGCATCGTCTTAGATATTTCTGAGAGTGACATAATATTTAATAGGAGTTATTCATTTTTAAGCCCCTATATTGTCCTGTAATGGAGAAGAATTTCATCTAAAGCAAAACAAAACAATCCAAAAGTCCACACAGATCATTTTTCTAGTTCTTATTTATTTATGAAGTTAATTCCCTAAAACATTAAATGTGAAGTGCAGTTTTTAGTAAGCTTGCTTATTAGTTAAAAATGGACGATAAACATTTACATTCATAAAGATATCTTTTTTTTCTTTTTTTTCATTTTATTATTATTTTACTTTAAGTTTTAGGGTACATGTGCACAACATGCAGGTTTGTTACATATGTATACATGTGCCATGTTGGTGTGCTGCACCCATTAACTCGTCATTTAGCATTAGGTATATCTCCTAATGCTATCCCTCCCCCCTCCCCCCACCCCACAACAGGCCCCGGTGTGTGATGTTCCCCTTCCTGTGTCCATGTGTTCTCATTGTTCAATTCCCACCTATGAGTGAGAACATGCAGTGTTTCATTTTTTGTCCTTGCGATAATTTGGTCAGAATGATGGTTTCCAGCTTCATCCATGTCCCTACAAAGGACGTGAACTCATCCTTTTTTATGGCTACATAGTATTCCATGGTATATATGTGCCACATTTTCTTAATCCAGTCTATCGTTGTTGGACATGTAGGTTGGTTCCAAGCCTTTGCTATTGTGAACAGTGCTGCAATAAACATACGTGTGCATGTGTCTTTATAGCAGCATGATTTATAATCCTTTGGGTATATACCCAGTAATGGGATTGCTGGGTCAAATGGTATTGCTAGTTCTAGATCCCTGAGGAAGCACCACACTGACTTCCACAATGGTTGAACTAGTTTACGGTCCCACCAACAGTGTAAAAGTGTTTGTATTTCTCCACATCCTCTCCAGCACCTGTTGTTTCCTGACTTTTGAATGATTGCCATTCTAAGTGGTGTGAGATGGTATCTCATTGTGGTTTTGATTTGCATTTCTCTGATAGCCAGTGATGATGAGCATTTTTTCATGAGTCTTTTGGCTGCATAAATGTCTTCTTTTGAGAAGTGTCTGTTCATATCCTTCACCTACTTTTTGATGGGGTTGTTTGTTTTTTTCTTGTAAATTTGTTTGAGTTCCTTGTAGATTCTGGATATTAGCCCTTTGTCAGATGAGTAGGTTGCAAAAATCTTCTCCCATTCTGTAGTTTGCCTGTTCACTCTGATGGTAGTTTCTTTTGCTGTGCAGAAGCTCTTGAGTTTAATTAGATCCCATTTGTCAATTTTGGCTTTTGTTGCCATTGCTTTTGGTGTTTTAGACATGAAGTCCTTGCCCATGCCTATGTCCTGAATGGTAATGCCTAAGTTTTCTTCTAGGGTTTTTATGGTTTTAGGTCTAACATTGAAGTCTTTAATCCATCTTGAATTGATTTTTGTATAAGGTGTAAGGAAGGGATCCAGTTTCAGCTTTCTACATATGGCTAGCCAGTTTTCCCAGCACCATTTATTAAATAGGGAATCCTTTCCCCATTGCTTGTGTTTGTCAGGTTTGTCAAATATCAGATGCTTGTAGATATGCGGCATTACTTCTGAGGGCTCTGTTCTGTTCCATCGGTCTATGTCTCTGTTTTGGTATCAGTACCATGCTGTTTTGGTTACTGTAGCCTTGTAGTATAGTTTGAAGTCAGGTAGCGTGATGCCTCCGGCTTTGTTCTTTTGGCTTAGGATTGACTTGGCGATGCAGGCTCTTTTTTGGTTCCATATGAACTTTAAAGTAGTTTTTTCCAATTCCGTGAAGAAAGTCATTGGTAGCTTGATGGGGATGGCATTGAATCTGTAAATTACCTTGGGCAGTATGGCCATTTTCATGATATCGATTCCTCCTACCCATGAGCATGGAATGTTCTTCCATTTCTTTGTATCCTCTTTTATTTCACTGAGCAGTGGTTTGTAGTTCTCCTTGAAGAGGTCCTTCACATCCCTTGTAAGTTGGATTCCTAGGTATTTTCTTCTCTTTGAAGCAATTGTGAATGAGAGTTCACTCATGATTTGGCTCTCTGTTTGTCTGTTATTGGTGTCTAAGAATACTTGTGATTTTTGTACACTGATTTTGTATCCTGAGACTTTGCTGAAGTTGCTTATCAGCTTGAGGAGATTTTGGGCTGAGATGATGGGGTTTTCTAGATATACAATCATGTCATCTGCAAACAGGGACAATTTGACTTCCTCTTTTCCTAACTGAATACCCTTTATTTCCTTCCCCTGCCTGATTGCCCTGGCCAGAACTTCCAACACTATGTTGAATAGGAGTGGTGAGAGAGGGCATCCCTGTCTTGTGCCCATTTTCAAAGGGAATGCTTCCAGTTTTTGCCCATTCAGTATGATATTGGCTGTGGGTTTGTCATACATAGCTCTTATTATTTTGAGATACGTCCCATCAATACCTAATGTATTGAGAGTTTTTAGCATGAAGGGTTGTTGAATTTTGTCAAAGGCCTTTTCTGCATCTATTGAGATAATCATGTGGTTTTTGTCTTTGGTTCTGTTTATATGCTGGATTACATTTATTGACTTGTGCATGTTGAACCAGCCTTGCATCCCAGGGATGAAGCCCACTTGATCATGGTGGATAAGCTTTTTGATGTGCTGCTGGATTCGGTGTGCCAGTATGTTATTGAGGATTTTTGCATTGATGTTCATCAAGGATATTGGTCTAAAATTCTCTTTTTTGGTTGTGTCTCTGCCAGGCTTTGGTATCAGGATGATGCTGGCCTCCTAAAATGAGTTAGGGAGGATTCCCTCTTTTTCTGTTGATTGGAATAGTTTCAGAAGGAATGGTACCAGTTCCTCCTTGTACCTCTGGTAGAATTCGGCTGTGAATCCATCTGGTCCTGGGCTTTTTTTGGTTGGTAAGCTATTGATTATTGCCTCAATTTCAGAGCCGATTATTGGTCTATTCAGAGATTCAACTTCTTCCTGGTTTAGTCTTGGGAGGGTGTATGTGTCGAGGAATTTATCCATTTCTTCTAGATTTTCTAGTTTATTTGCGTAGAGGTATTTATACTATTCTCTGATGGTAGTTTGTATTTCTGTGGGATCGGTGGTCATATCCCCTTTATCATTTTTTATTGCGTCTATTTGATTCTTCTCTCTTTTCTTCTTTATTAGTCTTGCTAGCAGTCTGTCAATTTTATTGATCTTTTCAAAAAACCAGCTCCTGGATTCATTAATTTTTTGAAGGGTTTTTTGTGTCTCTATTTCCTTCAGTTCTGCTCTGATCTTAGTTATTTCTTGCCTTCTGCTAGCTTTTGAATGTGTTTGCTCTTGCTTTTCTAGTTCTTTTAATTATGATGTTAGGGTATCAATTTTAGATCTTTCCTGCTTTCTCTTGTGGGCATTTAGTGCTATAAATTGCCCTCTACACACTGCTTTGAATGTGTCCCAGAGATTCTGGTATGTTGTGTCTTTGTTCTCATTGGTTTCAAGGAACATCTTTATTTCTGCCTTCATTTCATTATTTACCCAGTAGTCATTCAGGAGCAGCTTATTCAGTTTCCATGTAGTTGAGCAGTTTTGAGTGAGATTCTTAATCCTGAGTTCTAGTTTGATTGCACTGTGGTCTGAGAGACAGTTTATTAAAATTTCTGTTCTTTTACATTTGCTGAGGAGTGCTTTACTTCCAACTATGTGGTCAATTTTGGAGTAAGTGTGGTGTGGTGCTGAAAAGAATGTATATTCTTTTGATTTGGGGTGGAGAGTTCTGTAGATGTCTATTAGGTCCGCTTGGTGCAGAGCTGAGTTCAATTCCTGGGTATCCTTGTTGACTTTCTGTCTCGTTGATCCATCTAATGTTGACAGTGGGGTGTTAAAAGTCTCCCATCATTAATGTGTGGGAGTCTAAGTCTCTTTGTAGGTCACTCAGGACTTGCTTTATGAATCTGGGTACTACTGTATTGGGTGCATATATATTTAGGATAGTTAGCTCTTCTTGTTGAATTGATCCCTTTACCATTATGTAATGGCCTTCTTTGTCTCTTTTGATCTTTGTTGGTTTAAAGTCTGTTTTATCAGAGACTAGGATTGCAACCCCTGCCTTTTTTTGCTTTCCATTTTCTTGGTAGATCTTCCTCCATCCTTTTATTTTGAGCCTATGTGTGTCTCTGCATGTGAGATGGGTTTCCTGAATACAGCACACTGAAGGGTCTTGACTCTTTATCCAATTTGCCAGTCTGTGTCTTTTATTTGGAGCATTTAGCCCATTTACATTTAAAATTAATATTGTTATGTGTGAATTTGATCCTGTCATTATGATGTTAGCTGGTTATTCTGTTCCTTAGTTGATGCAGTTTCTTCCTAGCCTTGACAGTCTTTACAATTTGGCATGTTTTTGCAGTGGCTGGTACCGGTTGTTCCTTTCCATGTTTAGTGCTTCCTTCAGGAGCTCTTTTAGGGCAGGCCTGGTGGTGACAAAATCTCTCAGCCTTTGCTTGTCTGTAAAGTATTTTATTTCTCCTTCACTTATGAAGCTTAGTTTGGCTGGATATGAAATTCTGGGTTGAAAATTCTTTTCTTTAAGAATGTTGAATATTGGTCCCCACTCTCTTCTGGCTTGTAGAGTTTCTGCCAAGAGATCAGCTGTTAGTCTGATGGGCTTCCCTTTGTGAGTAACCCGACCTTTCTCTCTGGCTGCCCTGAACATTTTTTCCTTCATTTCAACTTTGGTGAATGTGACAATTATGTGTCTTGGAGTTGCTCTTCTCGAGGAGTATCTTTGTGGCGTTCTCTGTATTTCCTGAATCTGAACGTTGGCCTGCCTTGCTAGATTGGGGAAGTTCTCCTGGATAATATTCTGCAGAGTGTTTTCCAACTTGGTTCCATTCTCCCCGTCACTTTCAGGTACACCAATCAGACATAGATTTGGTCTTTTCACATAGTCCTGTATTTCTTGGAGGCTTTGTTCGTTTCTTTTTATTCTTTTTTCTCTAAACTTCTCTTCTTGCTTCATTTGATTCAATTTATCTTCCATCACTGATACCCTTTCTTCCAGTTGATCGCATTGGCTACTGAGTCTTCTGGATTCATCACGTAGCTCTCGTGCCTTGGTTTTCAGCTCCATCAGTTCCTTTAAGGACTTCTCTGCATTGATTATTCTAGTTATCCATTTGTCTAATTTTTTTTCAAAGCTTTTAACTTCTTTGCCATTGGTTCGAATTTCCTCCTGTAGCTCAGAGTAGTTTGATCGTCTGAAGCCTTCTTCTCTCAACTCGTCAAAGTCATTCTCCATCCAGCTTTGTTCCACTGCTGGTGACGAACTGCATTCCTTTGGAGGAGGAGCGGCACTCTGATTTTTAGTTTCCAGTTTTTCTGCTCTGTTTTTTTCCCATCTTTGTGGTTTTATCTACCTTTTGTCTTTCATGATGGTGATGTACAGATGGGTTTTGGTGCGGATGTCCTTTCTGTTTGTTAGTTTTCCTTCTAACAGACAGGACCCTCAGCTGCAGGTCTGTTGGAGTTTGCTAGATGTCCACTCCAGACCCTGTTTGCCTGGGTTTCAGCAGCAGTGGCTGCAGAACAGCGGATATTGGTGAACCGCAAGTGCTGCTGCCTGATGGTTCCTCTGGAAGTTTTGTCTCAGAGGAGTACCTGGCCGTGTGAGGTGTCAGTCCGCCCCTACTGGCGGATGCCTCCCAGTTAGGCTACTCGGGGGTCAGGGACGCACTTGAGGAGGCAGTCTGCCCGTTCTCAGATCTCCAGCTGCGTGCTGAGAGAACCACTACTCTTTTCAAAGCTGTCAGAGAGGGATATTTAAGTCTGCAAGAGGTTACTGTTGTCTTTTTGTTTGTCTGTGCCCTGCCCTCAGAGGTGGAGCCTACGGAGGCAGGCAGGCCTCCTTGAGCTGTGGTGGGCTCCACCCAGTTTGAGCTTCCCTGCCGCTTCGTTTACCTAATCAAACAACTAACTGGGCAATGGCGGGTGCCCCTCCCCCAGCCTCACTGCTGCCTTGCAGTTTGATCTCAGACTGCTGTGCTAGCAATGAGGGAGACTCCGTGGGCATAGGACCCTCTGAGCCAGGTGCGGGTTATAATCTCCTGGTGTGCTGTTTTTTAAGCCCATTGGAAAAGTGCAGTATTAGGGTGGGAGTGACCCGATTTTCCAGGTGCTGTCTGTCACCCCTTTCTTTGACTAGGAAAGGGAATTCCCTGACCCCTTGCACTTCCTAGGTGAGGCGATGCCTCACCCTGCTTTGGCTCGTGCACAGTGCGCTGCACCCACTGTTCTGCACCTGCTGTCTGGCACTCCCCAGTGAGATGACCCGGGTACCTCAGTTGGAAATGCAGAAATCACCCGTCTTCTGCGTTGCTCATGCTGGGAGTTGTAGACAGGAGCTGTTCTTGTTTGGCCCTCTTGGCTCCTGCCTCAAGATTTCTTTTAATACTATCCTTTATCCATTTTATCTTTACCTGAAACATCAGTCATCTTGGACATGTCTAACATTTCTTACAGATGTTCTAGAAAATCTAAATAAAATTGCTTGTCTCTGCCTCTGGCTTTGTTCATCTAACCTCATATCTATCTTCTTCAACTTGGGAAACAGGATTTTCCATTTTATGTACAAAAGAAAATGGAGAGACAATTCAAAATAAAAAGCATGTTTTATTTCTTATTTCTATACTGTACCCAAAATAAATGAAACAGATTATCTTGCCTTTCGTGAAGCTGTCATAAGTACCTATAAATGTATTGAGTTTCTTAATGTCCTTCGAATTTTAGTTGTGACTATTATAACCATATTTTGAAAATATGATTTCAAGTAACTCAAATAGAAAGTTTAAAAGTACATCTTAAGAGGGCTGCATCACATCAAGACACTAATTTTTGAATCACACATGCTAGCACTTCTAGTTATAGATATATCCTATTCAACAGTGACTTATGTTTCCTAAGGTTTTGTTCTTCATCTGAAGGTGCAAGGCTCATTTATTTTGCAAGACTTTTTGGATTTTTAAAAGGATCAAACAAGGTAACAAATGTAAAGCATCATAATGCCTGACCTGATAAATAGTAACTGTTACTCCTCTTCTGTCCTGGCAACTAAAACCTAACTGATGTTTGTTATGCATTATTTTGAACTAGGAACTAGAAATTAAAGTAAAAGTGTAAATGTTGTGATTTCAACAAATCAACTATATATCATCTTTTGCATTTAATAAAGTGAACATTTTGATGTGATTACTCTTGAAATTAGGAAATCTAAGAATCAGGCCATGTCTGGTTAACTATGTTCTTACACTTAATCTGGGCCTCATTGTTAGCCATCTTAACTTAAGAAGTTATCGCTATTTACACAGCTCTCTAAAAATAATTAATTTAAAAATCAATCTGTTGGAAAATAAAGTACTAAAATTATGAATATGATTGAAAAAAGACAAAACTCATGTTCAGAAGAAAATAATAAAATTAATCATAATTTCCTTTTGTTTTTACCTTAAAATTCATCTACATCAACGGTTATTTGAGTGTCAGAGAAATGTATGTTTTTATACCATTATTTGTCCTGTGTATTCTAATGCACATTAAAGAAAATGAAAACAAAACTAATATTTTGAAACATAAAGGATGGAGACTTTCATATATACTATATAGTTAAGTGCTTAACAGGGCTTGTTATTCAAATGGAATTTTAAAAACTTGAATGTGTGCAAGTGAACATTAAATCCCACAAATTATTTGCTATTAGAATGGCTAGGATTCTTAGATGATAGTAGTTTTGACTTATTTGACTTTGTCAATAATGTAATAACTATATCAATTTATAAATTCTCAATGACTTTTAAAATGTGTTTATTTTTAAAACTTTCTGATTACTTATTTTGCCATCTGCTGATAGGTGAATAAAGATCAACAGTATGGAGGTCTGTGTTCATAATCAACTGAACAGAACAAAAAGGCTGATCCCCCATCCAGTAAGAGAGAATTCTCTTACTTAGGTTAGAGAGGTTAAATTATTTCATTTAAAATAAAGTATATAGTTTTGTTAAATCAAGTTTAGCCTAAAGCTGCCTCCTTCTGGAGTCTCAGGGCCTACTGTGGCTCAGGAGTCTGCCCGATTTGTGAATCTTCCGTTACTCAATTAAACTCCTTTAAATTTAATTCAGCTAAAGTTTTTCTTTTAACAGTTTATAAGCCTGTTTCAAACAAAAAGTTTTTCATTGATGAAGGGTTTACTGTGTGTGAACAAAAGAAAGTGTAGTGTAGTGTAGTGAGGAAAAATAAGTTTTAGAGTCAGAGGATCTAACTGCATGCCCTTAATAAGTGTAATATAGCAGGGATAATGTATATCTACTGTGTTATCATCAGTAGGTGTAGCTGTGGCCAAGTATGCCATGTTAACACTCTCATTATCTTTGTGGTGCAATGGCTATTTAATAGTGCATGTCATAGACTCTTCATGGTCGCATGGCCTTGCCCTCATTACACACCCTGCTAATGTAGTCTACCACTATAACTGGGCCTCAATATGTTTTTTTGTAAGAAGGAAGCTAACCTTTGTTTGATGTCCATTTACTGGAAACCATCCTATATGCATATATATACATAATGTCTTCTTAAAGTATTTGTATAATGCCATGAAATAGTTATTATTAATTCCCATTTTTAACAAATAAAGTAAGGCTAAGAAAATTTTACTTTTTTTACTTCTGTCTCTCTCACTTTCTTTCTGTCTCTCATACACACCTGAGCATGTGCACACACACATACTGTAGGAAATCTAGTAGAGTTCATCTGATGTTTACATCACTATTTTGAGCTAAATGCTGACTCTTCACCAGTTTTATAATATGTGCATTTTTCATTTAGTCATAATCAGAAAAATACGTGTGATTCTTACACATACTCCATGAATGAAAAAATTGAGCACTAGAGAGCTTAAGTATCTTATTAAAAAAAAATTACATGGTAGAACAGGGATTTCACCATAGGATCATTTGACACAAACCTTCAGTTCTAACAACTACTCTACTGGTACTTCTGATGAGACACAGGTTATAGTTTAAGCGTGGTCAGATATATGTAACTGCAATTCATCCAGATAAAAATAGAGCTCCTGTTCAATCCCAAATAAAATGAATTAATATCTCTGATATTAAAGGATATTAATCCTAATGGAATGTAGAATTTTTTATTCATATTGCATTAAAGTATAATAAAAGTATAACTATTATAATATCTACATTCTGTTATTATATAGTGATTGAATTAAACTTTTTTGGCAAATTCTAAAAGAATAGAACTTTGATTCTTATTTTCATTTATGTGCTGAGCAGTAAATTTTAAAAAACACTTTAAAAACTTGTGCTTTTATGTTTGAGTCTTACTATATTCCACGTTTCATTATTTTGTTAATTATTTCAGAATGTAAATATTATTGTCATTCTGGTCAAAAATAATTTTTAAAATTTCACCATGAATAACATTTTGCATGTTTTTCAATAGATTAATATTCTTTCCACTGTGTACATGCATATAAATGATTACTGTTAATGAGAAATATATTGAAATGTGAAAAGAGGAAGAATGCCTTATCTGAGTCTATGAATATATTAAAATTTTAAGAATATTTTGGTTATATCTGACAATCAAATGGATAATTTAAGTATAAATATCTATCTACTTTTCTATTTACTTATTCATCAATTTATATAAAAACATACACACATGCATACATATATATGTGTAGGAATCATAGATGTATATATGCATATGTCATATATGAACACATATTTATATACAGTATGTGTGTGCTTGCAGATACACAGATTCACACACATAGACACACACACACACACACACGCATGCAGAAAGAGAAGACACAGATTAATTTAGTCCCAATAATTATTTAACTATCTGGGACAGCAGATTTTACAAATACTGCAAAGAAATAATGTTATCCTTGCCTTTTAGGGCATCATAATGAAGATGAGCAGAAAACAAAATTATTACTCTCAAGAAATATTTAAAATATGCTTGTATTAAGTTGGGATTCTCCAGGGAAACAAACCTAACTGAATGTGCATATGTGTTTGTGTGTATATTTGTGTGTGTATACATATACATGTGTGTGTTATACACATGTATATCAATTTAAGGCATTGGCTCACATTATTATGGAGGCAAGCAAGTTTCAAGGTCTGCAGTGTGAGTTGGAAACTGAAGATCGAGAAAACTGTTGTTTTATTTCCACCTGAGTGTGAAGATCTGTAAACCAAGAGAGCTGATCACGTTTTTCTAGTCATAAGGCCCCAGACTTGGGACCCAAGAAGAGCCAAGGTTTTAGTTAAGTCTAAAGGCAAGAAAAAAGTCAATACCCCCATTTGAAGGCCACCAGGCAGGAAGAATTCTTTTTTACTGGATGGGGGATCAGTCTTTTTGTTCTTTTCAGGCCCTAATCATTATTCGGAAGGCTACTTTAGGTTGAAGGACACTTCAATATCAAGAGAACTATCTAACCAACAAAAATTGGTTTCCAACATGATCTAGTAGATTGAAAAACTGGCCACAGTTCTTCGTTCCTTCTTATGTTTATGCCCATTTAATGTAGCTTTTATTTATTTTTTGTTTTTTGCCTCAAGTGGTGGGGTTTCTTTTTCCTTCTCTTTAATTCGAGTTGACTATGTGATTGGCTGGCAATAGAATGCAATATAAATGACAGTGTGTCAATTCTGATCCTAGAGCCCAAAATCTGGAGTCACTGACCTCCACTCTTTACTTTGAATTTTGTGCAGTTGCCACTTAAAAAAGTTTTAGCTGGCCTGCTGGGGATTGAAAGACCACAGAGGGCAAACACATTTGTCCACATAAGGCCAGCCCAACTGCCAAATCACAGAAGCATGAGTTAAAGAAATGGTTATAGTTTTAAACCACTTAATTTTGGAGTGGTTTGTCACAAAGCAAAAGCTAACTGATATACATGGTCAATATCTTCCTGGCAGAGGAGTAGGACATTAGTTTGTCATGTAGGCAATCTAAATTCACTTATACTGTATATAAAATTAGTTTGACACTTTATTTAATTATAAGATGAACTTCTTTTCACCCAAGTATATTAGACAAGCCACAGGTGTCAAGTCAGTCTTGCCTCTTTATAGTCTATCTTAACATGAAGATCCAGTGTGGTTTTAGTCTTTCGTGAGTTCTAGCTTTCTGATGCTGCCGTATAAGCACCACGAGACTTTGATTATCCAACTTACTTTTGAAATAATCACTATAAACCTGACTCCTGTTTAATTTTTTTTTTTTTTACATTAGAATGCCACACAGTTGTCTAAGGAAGGGGCCCATGGAATGATACAGGTCTGTGGCCTGTTAGGAACTGGGCCACACAGCAAGAGGGAGAGCAAACATTATGGTTTGAGCTCTGCTTCCTGTCAGATCAGCAGCTGCATTAGATTCTCATAGGAGTGAAAACCTTATTGTGAACTGCGCATGTGAGGGATCTAGGCTGCGCACTCATTATGAGAATCTAATGCCTGATGATCTGAGTGATCTGAAGTACAATGGTTTCATCCCGAAACCATTGCCCCCACCCCAACTCCCACCTCCATGAAAAAATTTTCTTCCACCTTTCAGGAAACTGGTCCCTGATGTCAAAATGGTTGGGGACCAATGGTCTAAGATGTCTAAAGGAAGAAAGAAATTTTTCTGCGTAAAACATTTGGTATATTTTTAGGTAGACCTAGTGTAAGTCCAGATTGAGAGGCTTTGCTGTGTTTCACAGTTGCCTTTTTGTGTGTGTAGACACCGTGTATGTGTGTGAGTATATGAGTGCATCAAATAATGAATAGTAATATAAAACAAATTGCCTTTCTTATTGTCTAATGTTAATTAAAACCAAATGTCCCTTTCACAATGCACCTAATGTGCTTTAATTATTCTGTATTGTGCGGATGTGACAAAAGGGAACATGCAATTATTAAGCGGAAAAAGTACACATTGTACCAATAATTGTCCATAACGTGAAATAGTATTGCTTTTCCCCTGTGAATAACTTGAATCCTTGCCAAATAATCCACTCCACGCCCTTTAAATAATGTAAATTATTCTTTCATAATAATATGTATTTAAAATTACCTTTTATTGAGTTTAACAGAAACATGTTCATTTCCATTTTCCTTCTTTCCATAGTTTGAAATAATACAAAGCCATAATATGTTTTTAATGTTTTCTACTGGCATAAATTTTAATCATAAAAATGGGTGTTACTCTACAGAATATAGAGCTTTGGAAGCAGTTAGAATTAGATTTGAATGCTAATATTTTGTATTTAAATGTGAGCAAATCTCTTACCTCACTGAGATTAATTTTCTTGGGGTAAGAATACCTATACCTACAAGGATATTGGATGTGAAGGGGCTGATGAACAGATAACAGGTATAAGGTGGCCAAGCCACAAATAACCTTTCTTATAATGCTTAATGATTAGGAAATAGAAACAAAATCCATTAAGATAAACTCAGATTCTCAGATATCTGAATTATTTCTCAATCTTTCACTCTTAAATTATCTTCCTTTGCCTTTTCAATTATTTTTTCTATCAGTGAACCCTTACTTTCCTTCTAAATGGTGAAATTATTTGGGAACTACTTGAATAATATTTCTCACTTAACTAAATGCTGACATATCAGAAAGAAACTCTAGATAAAATACAAGGGTTTCCTGAAAGACAGCTACTGTCTTCGTTAGACGTTTTTCTCTCCAAAGGAGGAAGCTGATTTTCTCTAAAGTGATGTTGAAAAAGATCATTGAAAGAAGACCATGAAACAGAGACTGCTTTTCAGCCCAATTTTGGTGGTCATTTTTCTGCAGCTCTGTTCCCTTATCCATTTTTCAGTATCATGAAAGTCAGGTGTCAACTCTGGGAATGGCTTTTTGATTCTGACATTAATTCTCATGGTGGTTTTGAATATACAGGTGTAGTTCATCAGTTCATTATTCTTGTGGGAATTATTTGTGGACCCCCAGTTAGAATCTGGTTTTTAGCCATCAATCTGCAATCACTTAATTCCTAGAACTGAATTACTTCCTTTTTTAAATATCTAGGATGTTTTCTGTTTTTTGCACTACACCCTGACAGATAAGGTTTCAAAATGTTTTTGAAAAGGCAACGTGTTTGCCCAACATAGTGGGATTGTAGGAAAGAAATGAGGATAGAGAGGTAGGTTGGATTCAAATTAAAGGGATTGTTCACTGTGTTGGTAAGGAATTAATTTTAAACTCATGACAAGCCACAAGAAGCTTCTGAACATAGTGGCAGCATGATCAATGTGTGTTTTAGAAAAGTGATTCTAGAATCTGCACCTGGAGTAAATGGAAGGATGCCAGACTGAAAGCAAGTGGTCTGATCTGATGGGACCTGTTGGAGCTGGCATCAACTATCATTGGATCAAAGATAATCTTCTGAGATAACCGTCCTTTCATAAACAATAGGCATAAATTGCTTTCAATACAGCTGAAAAAATCCAAGAAGAAAATTTTTATTTGATACCATAGCCAATAGCTGCCATTTTACTTAACACTTTAAAGAAATATCCATAACAGGCATTTTAAAATAAACATTATAATATGATGTTCTAAAGAGAAGAAATACATTTTCAGGCTGACAACATGGGCATGGAAATATGTAAATAAATGATGTAGGAGATACATATATCAAGTATTCTCTCTGACAGAGTTCTTGGCAAATATATCAGTTCTTAAAGCTTCAGCATATCAGTTGTCTTCAATAAACCAGTAGAGCATTTGCAGAATCAAAAACCATTCAATGAAACCAAGTGCCTGACCTTTTATAAGTCTTTGGTACACACTGGTTCTTTTATTTTCCAGTATCCCTACAACACAGAAAGACTCTGATATTCCAAGCCAAAGCTAGGCATATTCTGAGGTAGAATGTGTCCATAGGTACAGATATTTTGTCTGTGGAGTACCAACAACTATATGGCCATTGAACAAGCTGACATAAGTGTCATAAAAGAAAATAAGTACTCCCTGATGATTCAGGAAAAGGAAGAATTATATAAATCTAACCAATCTTGCTGAAACTATTCCTAAAACTCAAGGAGGAAAGACTCTTCCCTAACACGTTTTACAAGGCCAGCATCAATCCTCATAGCAAAAACTGGCAGACACACAATGAAAAAAAGAAAACTTCAGGTCAGCATCTCAGTGAACATAGAAAAATCCTCAACAAAATACTAGCTAACTGAATCCAGCAGCATATCAAAAAGATAATTCACCACAAACAAGTAAGCTTTATTCCTGCGATGCAAGGTTGGTTCACCATACACAAATAAATAAATGAGTCCCACCATATAAACAGAATCAAGAACAAAAACGATGTGATCATCGCAATAAATGCAGAAAAAGCTTTTGATAAAATCTAACATCACCTCATGATAAAAACCCTCAGCAGATTAGGCACTGAAGGAACATACCTCAAAATAATAAGAGCCATCTATGACAAAACAACAGCCTGCATTATACTGAACAGGCAAACTCTAGAAGCATTCTCCTTGAGCGCTAGAACAAGACAAGGATGCCCACCCTCACCATGCCTATTCAATGTACTACTGAAAGTTATAGCCAAAGCAATGAAGCAAAAGGAAGAAATAAAAGGAATCTATCTAGGAAAAGAGAAAGTCATACTATCTTTCTTTGCTGATGATATGATTCTATATCTAAAAAACCCTACAGACTCTGCCAAAAGGCTTATAGCTAATAAAAAGTTCAGTAAAGTTTCAGGATACAAAATCGATATGAAAAATCAGTCGTATTTCTACACACCAACAACATTAAAGCTAAGAGCCAAATCAAGAATGCAATCCAACTTAAAATAGTCACAGAAAAAAATAAGTCACCTAGAAATATAGCTAGCAAAGGAGACGAAAGATATCTACAAGGAGAACTACAAAACATTTCTAAAATAAATCAGAGATGACACAAATAAATGGAAATATATCCCAGGCTCATCAGTTGGAAAAATCAGTATCATTAAAATGGCCATACTGCCCAAAGCAATTTACAGATTCAACACTATTCCTAATAAATTACCAATGTCATTTTTCACAGGATTAGAAAAAACTATTCTAAAATTCATGTGGAACCATAAAGGAGCCTGAATAGCCAAAGCAATCTTAAACAAAAAGAAGTAAGCTGGAGGTATCATATTACCCAACTTCAAACTATACTACAAGGCTACAATAACCAGAATAGCATGGTACTGGTAGAAAAGCAGACACATAGGCCAAAGGAATACAAAACTCATAAATAAAGCCACACAACTACAACCATCTGATCTTTGACAAAGTTGACAAAAATAAGCAATGGGAAAAAAGTCCCTGTTCAATAAATGGTGCTGGGAAAACTGGCTATTCATATGCAGAAGAATGAAACTGGACCCCTACATCTTCACCATGTACAAAAATTAACTCAAGATAGATTTAAAACAACTGTAAGACCTTGATCTATAAAAATTCGAGAAGAAAACCTAAAAAATACCCTTCTCCATATTGGCCTTGACAAGGAATTTATGGCTAAGTCCTCAAAAACAATTGCCACAAAAACAAAAATTGAAATGTGGGACCTAATTAAACTAAAGAGCTTCTGTGCACAGCAAGAAAAACTATTGAGAAAGTAAACAGACAACCCACAGAATGGGAGAAAATATTCACAAACAATGCATCTTTAAAAGGCCTCATATTCAGAAGATATAAATAATTTAAGCAATCCAACAAGCAAAAACCAAATGACCTCATTAAAAGAGGGCCAAAGACGTGAACAAACAGAAGATATACCAGCAGCCAACAAACATCTGAAAAAAAAAATTCATCTTCCCTAATCATCAGAAAGATGAAAATAGAAAACACAAGGAGATGCCATCTCAAACCTGTCAGAATGGATTTTGTTAAAAAGCCAAAAAAATAGCAAAACTCCTAAAACCCAAGGATGAGGTTGCAAAGAACAGGACTGATGTAAATTAGCTCAGGCACTGTGGAGAGAAGTTTGGAGATTCCTCAAAGAGCTGACATGAATTACCATTCTACCCAACAACGCCATTACTGTGTATATACCCAAAGGAAAATAAGTCATTCTACTAAAAAGAACAGGTACCCATATGTTCACTGCAGCAGTATCCACTATAACGAAGACATGCAATCAACCCAGTTGCCCATCAATGATGTCATGCCTAGTGCCAGGTTCCAGCCAATGATGGGGTCCGAAGGGAGTGGTGGATGAGTGGCAGATAACTGAAAGAACACTTGGGGCATAGGCAGATGAAGTATGGTTTTATTCAGCAGCTCTCTCATCAGCAGCTCACTCACACTAGTTCTCTCATCAACAGCTCTTTCACATTTTCCATCTCTGTCCCGGCCACCTGCTCTGGCTCTGGGGTTTCAGCTGCTCAAACACACAACTGCACAACCAGCTCTCCCTTACAGGGTCAGCAGCTTCACTCTCTCCCTCTCAGGGCACAAGCTGAGCCACGTCCTGGCTTTCCACTGTCTCTCTGCAAGATGGACATCTCTGACTCTCTCTCTTTCTCTGGGAGTGCCCTGAGCCAAGCCCGGACAGCATCAGCAGGGCAGTTATACCTTTTACAAATAATAGGCTCTGAGCCAGGTATGAACTTATAAAAGCAGGTTATATAACAAGTGGAATTATGCACCTGTGCTCCAATCCCACTGAGTCATGCAGGATGTTACCTCAGCATACTCTTGACCAAAGCACATCCATGTAACTTACATATGGTGTATTGGATAAAGAAAATGTGGTATATATATATCATAAAGTACTACACAGTCATACAGAAGAATGAAATCATTATCCTTTGCAGCAACATAGATGCATCTGGAAACCATTATCCTAAGTAAACTAACGCAGAAAGAGAAAACCAAGTACCTCATGTACTAGTAATGCATGTTTTCTCTTTAACTATTACTGAACTATGAGCCTAAGAATTCAAAAGTATTCAAGATCTCAAATGTACACTTTTGCCAATAGTAGCTTATTATTAGTTCATGAATCATAGTTGCTTTCTGTTTACTTTTATTTACTATAAATATTTTTTCTACATGACGTTACTATTCAGACTAGAGAGAGCAGGCTCATTTTAGTTTTTTTTAATCAAAAGCTTGAGTGTGTATCAGAGTCACTTGGAGAATGTTTCAAAAATGAATAATTATGGCATTACCCTATACCTACAAAATAAAACTTTATGGGCAAGGCAAAAGGATCTTACTTATAAAGCTCTGACTATAGATGGATTATTAGAGGTTTTGGATTCCACTAACAAATGGCAAATCAGTGTTACCATTGGTCTCAAGTAGTTATGAATTGTATTGTTTGTGAAGAAGCTGTCACCTGTAATCTGTAGGAACAATTTAAGTGTGAAAAATATAATGAGAGCCCATAAATAATGGCTGGGATATTATGGGAATGTACTATAGATCCTTCAGTTAGATAAAAGCATAGATGACACATTCCTGATCAAAACGTTAACAATGAAACAGAAAATGAAAAAATGAAATAAATGAATAAGAAAAATGATTTATTGAATGCTTCTCTATGTCATAAATTGTTAGTCAATAAACATTATATCATTAGTTTAAACAAAAATTCTAACAAGTAACCATTTGTTTTAAAGTTATTCTGATACGGTAACAGACTGATTTACTACTATATTCCTTGTAGTCATGTACTGATATGTTTGGATTTGTGTCACCGCCCAAATCTCATGTCTAATTGGAAGAAGGGCCTGGTAGGAGATGACTGGATTAAGGGGGTAGATTTCCCATTGCTGTTCTCATGATAGTGAGTGAGTTCTCATGATAGTGAGTGAGTTCTCATGATAGTGAGTGAGTTCTCATGAGATCTGATGGTTTAAAAGTGTATGGCACCTTCCCCTTTGTGTGCTCTCCCTCTCTCTCTCTCTCTCTCTCTCTCGTGCATATTGTAAGATATGCCTGCTTTCTCTTCACCTTCTGTCATGATTGTAAGTTTCCTGAGGCTTCCCAGTAATGCTTACTGTTAAGTCTGAGTAAATTCCCAGTAATGCTTACTGTTAAGTCTGAGTAAATTAAATTTCTTCATAAATTACCCAGTCTCAGGTACTTCTTTATAGCATTGTGAGAAATAACTAATACAGAATATTGGCACCAGGAGTGGGATATTGCTATACAGATACCTGAAAATGTGGAAGCAACTTTGGAACTGGGTAACAGGCAGAGGTTGGAACAGTCGTGAGGGCTCAGAAGAAGATAGGAAGATGTGGGAAATATTGGAACTTCCTAGAGTATGGTTGTGACCTTGAATACTGATAGTGATATGGACAAAGAAGTCCAGGCTGAGGTGGAGATGAGGAACTTACTGGGAACTGGAGCAAAGGTCACTCTTGCTATGCTTTAGCAAAAAAAAAAAAAACAAAAACTGGCAGTTTTGTGCCTGTGCTCTAAAGATGTGTTGATTTTTGAACTTGAAGACATGATTTAGTGTGATTTAGTGCAACTTAGTGTAACTGGTGGAAGAAATTGTTAAGCAGCAAAGTGTTGAAAATGTAGCCTTGCTGTTCCTAAAAGCCTATGCCCATTTGCATAAAGAAAGAGAAGGTCTGAAATTGCAACTCATATTTAAAAGGGAGGAAGAGTATAAGAGTTTGAAAAATTTGCAGCCCACTTATGTGGTAGAAGAGAAAAACCAATTTTCTAGGGAGAATTCAAGCTGGCAGCAGAACACATAAGTAAAGTGAAGACTAATGTTAATAACCAAGACAGTGGGGAAAATGCCTCGGAGACCTTTGCAGTAGCCCCTCCCATCACAGGCCTGGAGGCCTAGGAGGGAAACATGATTTCATGGGCCAGACCCAGGAGGGTCCTGCTGCTCTTTGCAGCCTCGGGATATAGTGCGCTGGGTCCCAGCCACTCCAACTTCAGCCGTGACCAAAAGGAGGCAATGTACAGCTCTGGCTGTTGCTTTAGAGGGTTCAAACCCCAAGCCTTGTCAGCTTCCACGTGGTGTTGGGCCTGCAGGAGCACAGGGATGGAAAGTTGAGGTATGGGAACTTCCACCTAGATTTCAGAGGATATATGAAAATGCCTGGATGTCCAGGCAGAAGTCTGCTGCTAGGGCAGAGTCCTCATGGAGAACCTCTACAAGGGCAATGTAGAGGGGAAATTTGGGGTTGGAGTCCCCACGTGGAATCCCCACTGCCTAGTGGAGCTGTGAGAAGAGGGCAATTATCTTGCAGACACTAGAGTGCTAGATCCACCAGTAGCTTGCACTGTTCACCTGGAAAAGATGCAGGCACTCAATGCCAGCCTGAGAAATCAGCTGCAGGGGGTGTACACTGCAGAGGCACAGGGATGGAGCTGCACAAGGCCTAGGGAGCCCACATCTTGCATCAGTTTGCCCTCGATGTGAGACATGGAGTCAAAGGAGATTACTTTGGAACTTTAAGATTTAATGACAGTCCTGAGTGGTTTTGACTTGCATGGAGCTAGTAGCCCCTTTGTTTTGGCCAATTTCTCCCATGGGAAATGAAAGAATTTACACAATGCTTGCCTGTAACCCCATTGTATCTTGAAAGTAACTAATTTTTTTTTTTAATGGTCTAGGCTCACAGGCAGAAGGGACTTACCTCGCTCACATGAGGCTTTGGACTGTGAACTTTTAAGTTAATGCTGAAGTGAGTTAAGACAGGGGGACTCTTTGAGAAGGGATAATAGTATTTTGCAATGTGAGAAGCACATGAAGTTTTGGAGGCACCAGAGGCAGAATGACAGTGTTTGGATTTGTGTCCACAACCAAATCTCATGTCAAATTGGAGGTGGGGCCTGGTGGGAGGTGACTGATCATAGGGTCAGATGTCCTCCTGTCTGTTCTTATGGTACTGAGTGAGTTCTCATGAGATCTGATGGTTTAAATGTGTGTGGCAATTTCCCCTTTACTTTCTCTCTCTCCTGCCACCATGGTAAGTTTTGCCTGGTTGCCTTTCACCTTCCACTATGATTGTAAGTTTCCTGGGACCCCCCCAGTCATGTTTCCTGTTAGGCCTACATAACTGTGAATAAATTGAGCCTCTTTATCAAATATATAGTTTGCAAATATATATGTATATATGCCTAGACTCTTGTAAATACAATACTCTTGTAAACACAACCAATATATTTCTGGTATGGTTCTTGTTTACAGGTACCAAGACAGACCTGATCATAAAACCAATAACAAAGAATGTCAGAAGTCTTTTACATGGAAGAAGAAAAAAATGCGAGCAAGAAGGCCTAAGAAAGGAGAGGTTTCAATAGACGGTACACTCGGTTGTTCCCTTAGACCACCTTTGTTAGTCTTCGCCTCAAAGAAAAACATTTCCACTGAAAACCACATAATCTGGTTTAACAGATTAAATATATAAACTATGATGTGCTGGGAGAACTTCAGCTTTTTTTCCTAGCACTCACCTGATCCCAGAGATCTTATTCCAACATCTTAAACAGAAGTTAATAATTCTTTATTTGATTTAGAGTTTCAGATTCACTCTAAAGATCTGAGGACATCAGTTTAATTTTTAGGCTAACCTTTTTTTTTTTTTGAGATGGAGTTTCACTCTTGTTGCCTGGGCTGGAGTGCAATGGCACAATCTCGGCTCACTGCAATCTCTGCCTCCTAGGTTCGAGAGATTCTCCTGCCTCAGCCTCCCTAGTAGCTGGGAATACAGGCGCCTGCCACTGTGCCCAGCTTATTTTTTATATTTTTAGTAGAGACGGGGTTTCACTGTGTTGGCCAGGCTGGTCACGAACTACTGACCTCAGAAGATCCACCCACCTCAGCCTCCCAAAGTGCTGGGATTACAGGCGTGAGCCACCACGCCCAGCCTAGGCTAATCTTAAAATACAACACATAAGCAAAACCTATTTAACAAGGGCAAAACTCACAAAATGAATTTAATTTTCATTTACAGTCCATTCTTAAATTCATATCTCTAGCCCTATCATTTTCTATGAGTTGTAGATCTGTTTATTCTGGGGCCCACATGAGATTAACTGATTCTAAACCATTTGAGATTCCATCTTATGCAGGAATTAATTTTTTTCTCTCCTCCTAAAAATGATACATTATCGTTCTTCCCTAAATAAGTGATTGACACTATAAGCACAATTCCTCAAATCAAAAAATTAGGAGTCTCTATTTTGACTAATTAGTTATTAAATATATCAATTTAATATTATCCATGTTTAATGCTTAAATATACTTGTATCTATCTTCTTTTTCCTCTCTGGCCATCATCCCATTTTTTCAGCTATTATTAGCCTCTCATCTGGACCTCTGTCAAATACACATATGATTTGACTCTACCTATGGCTTTTTTTTCTTCTTACACCAATCTTCAGTGCTGGCACACAGGATACAGGAAGTTTTTAGATATGTTCTCTCTCTCTGGAGTACTGTTCCTTTCCTTGTTTACTTTGTTACCTCTTTTTCCTTTTTTTAGATCTCAAATAAGTTGTGACTTCCTCTGATAAATCTTTGGTAATTTCCAGTATAGTGTTAGCTAACCTCGCTTTCTGTTAGTTACCATACCACCATTTACCTCTCCTTTGTAGCAATTGATACAGGTGCAATATCATAGTTGTTTAGAAAATTTTGATCAATGTTTACACCTACTATTTTATAATAAAGTCCATGAAAGAAAAGGAAAAATAAGTTGCATTTGTTAAGAATTTGTTTCCAGTTTTGATCAGTGTTATTACACTTTCTACCTTAGCAACTAACTGTTTTGGAATCAATATGTGAAGTTTTGTTGACAGGTAACAGAGAAAAACAACACTAAGAGCCACAGCCTGGCTGAGTACAATCTGCTTGTCCTTCATGTTGCAAAGAGCTGTCAGCCTGGCCCTCAATGCCTTGGTGTTCTCTTGGTGAACATAAGGCATTTCACAGAATATCATCAAACAAGGCCACTCTGTGACCGTAATAGATCAATAAGAAAAAAAAAAACAAAACACTGTGTAATCAAGTCTGACAACTAACAACAAACATTACTATTTTCCTAAGCATAAAAATAACCAAATGATAGTTAATAGCTTGAAAGCTGTTTCTTTGCTAATTTCATTTGGCCTCACTCTAATCCTCTTTCCTTCTAGATACACATTATTGTTATTCCCAATCTAAATTTACTCTCGCTTCCGAACAACACATAAACTATAGGCAAGCTATGCTTCCTCTATCACTCCCAAATCACCTACCACAAGTTTAAATCTTATACATCCTTTCTAAGATTCCCTAAATGAGAAGCCTCATTATTCCTTGTGGAGTGTTTCTTACGGTCTTTGGCTGGAGAGTATTGGCAGAGGCAACTTAAAAACCTGTATGGATTTCAATCACAGTACAAATTCCACTTGTGCTTTAAGTATACTGACACACACACACACACACACACACATATCCATATTTGAATGATACAAAACCAAATTGACTTGATGTAAAATAATAAATTAACAAGATAATAAAAACTGTCTTTATAATGTATTATACTTAAAGCATGCTAGCCTCTTACCTGCTTAACCTCGTTCAATTCTTAAAACAATGGTATAAGGGAGATGTTTACCATATTTATTTTATATATGAGGAAATACAGGTTTTGCTGTAAAATCTGAAATTTTTGACACATTTGGAAATTGTATATTGACTGTCAGATTCTTGAAACAGTCTTAACTACTAAACCACATTGTATGCATACTTAAGTCATGCTTATGAATTTTCTCTTTAATCTGTGCAATTTCTATCTCATGACCAAATATCTGAAGTCTAAATAAAGTGGTATATAAAGTGGTATAAAGAAAGTAGTGGAGAAACAACACCAAGGAATTTAAACTGCACAAATATTTATAGGATAAGTACTATTTGCTAAGTATCAAATAAAAGGTCTCAAATCTCAAGATTCTAGGATAACAATAAAAAACAAATATATAGATATTTATAATACAAGACAAAATATAATGTGTTATTAGGCAATTTTCAAGTGCTTTTACAATTCAAAAGAAAGGAGATATTTTACCTGGTCAAAGAAATTAGGGCAATTTATTTGGCAATCGTTGACTTTTAATTGAGCTTGAAAACTGCTTAGGATTTTAATAGTGATTATATCTAGAGGAGAAATTGGGTATGGTTTTTGAATTTTCTTCTTTATAGTTCTTAAAATCTTACTGATACGATAGCTTAAGAGAGTAGTAGAATTTTTGACGGAATGAGTTAGAATAAGAATGTTTAACAAAACTGAAAGTTTTATTAGGCTAGGGATCAAATCTGTTTTGCTCACTATGGTAGCTACTACATTAAATGCATAGTGTATGGAGTACTAAATAAATAATTAAAATTATGGAAAAGAATGAATAACAGTGAGTTTGGGATGATGTGGAAGGCACTAAGGAATATTGAAGGTATAGGATAAATTTCTATAGTGGAGAGATTGGTCAGAATACATATCATGATTTTGAGGAGAAATTTGAATTTTTGCCTAAGATCATTTCACTTAATAAATCATGAAAAGCCTTTGACTATTTTTAGTCAAAGTGTACAGAAATATAATAATTTCAAATATATGCCTTTTTAAGTTTAAAATATATTTCAAAATATGGCTACTTGGCATACTGAGTATTTTAAGCTGAAGGAATTTGAGAAATGAACAGAAGCATGAAAGTCTCTCTGACCTTCTTCTATCAATTTCCCCTGAAGTAGGCCAGAAAAGAATTCTTTGACCTTTCTCTAAAGTGGGTCATAGACACTCATTCCAGAGGTGGTCCTCCTATATTCAGAGGAAAAGAATGTCCTTATCTCTAAAGACCATGCGATACAAAGAACAATCTGAACCAACTCAGATACACTGCTCAATTCCCTGCGGTGTATTACCATTAGATCATTCCCTTTTGTCCTCCAATCATACTTGTACCTGATTGCTCATAAAAATATGCAGACTAATCTATTTATTTGGGTCTTCATTTCCGAAGGCTCTCATGTCCCATAAAACTGATATTTCTCTTATTATTTTATCTTTTATTATAGGTGTCTCAGCCATGAATTTGGCAACAAGTGAGAAAAAGATACACTTTTTCTCTCCTACATGTATATATGGTAAATATTTTAATAGCATAAGTAGCATTACACACTCATACTGCAGTGAGCTCAATAAAAGTCAGTGAAGGATGGTGAATACTGATAACGATGGCTATGATGTTGATGAGAACATGATTAGACAGGTGTTTAATATGATAGTTTGTTAAGATCCACTTTAAATAGATTGACTTCTCAGAGGCTTGCATAGATTGAGAACATTAACTGGATGATAAGTGCCTTGAGAATAAGACCCACATCTTAAGGATCCTTATAGACAGTAAAATTACGACTTGACTAATAGTCATTAAATGTAGAGGTAAATAGAATTTTTGTGAATATTAATTTCAAATCATCTTAAAAGTATTCTGTGAAAATGGTGACTATTTTAGTAATAAACATTTCTTTAAGAAAACAATCTGTTTACTTAATATATAAAGTCAGTAATGTATATCATAGGAAGAATTTCTTAACTTTCATGAGTAGAGAGATTGATAACTGGAAACAGTGCTGAGAAGATATATTAATCTACAACAAGAATACTTAAATTATACAAGATTGTCAGATTTTATTTTAAAAAGAAATCAGTGATGGTCTTTCTACAAGTAATATAATTTAATTCTGAAAACAGAAAGATTGAAGATTTAAAATTTGGTAAATATTAATTAAGCAAATAATTCATATAGCTATGTTAATGACTACATAATGACAATGTTAAATTCATCTGAAAGATAAAGATCACAAATATTGATGGACCTATCAAAATTATAAAGATAAAAGTAAAATATTGATTAAAATAAGAGTGAGAAACTAAAAAGTCTACCAAAATAGCAGTGGATGATTCTCTCATGTATATCTCAGTTATTGATTACTGAACCAGAGAAGAAGGAAGAGAGAGAGCAGACAGGTGTCAGGTGGGAGAAAAAGGAGAAGGGGAAGAAAAGACATAAATTATTTTTCTGTTTTGTCTATTTTCACTGCGTTATTCCCAGCAACTAAAAGGGTATGTGGTGCACCAAAAGTGTTCAGTCTTTTCAGTGAAATAGTGAACCAAGAGATTAGTTTTATTTTCCTGCAAGATTCATTATGTGAAAACTTAAAACCTAAGAAAGAGTTTGAAAGTTTACTAATATGAGAAAAGATAGGGACGTTTTAGACTACCCTAAAAATTCACAAGTATGAAATGCTGGGTATTAAGTTGATAGATTGTTGTTAATAATTGATATGTCAAAAAAATTCAGTACTGAAATTTGAGAAATCCCTGAGTAGACTAAGGCATATCTTCCTTTTTAGTTCAGAAATGAAATGACAGTTAAAAATAATATACTAGCAACCATACAGGAAGATGGAATTAATATTTAAATTTTTAAAAATGAAATAAGCACAAAATTCCATTTTAAACAATGAATAAAACATAATAAAAACTTTTTACAAATCTGCAATATATGTAAACACGTTTCTATAACCTTATACAAAAGCCTTTAAAAGTGATTTTGCACAATAGCAACACTAAGCAAGAAATTTGAGTGAAAAATGCATATGAAAAAGAATTCAAGATGATCAATACACACATGAAAAGTTATTTAACCTCACTAGTAACCAGAGTAAGTTTACATGGTTCTCTGTATTATATTGAGAGTGATTGAAAATACAGACAATGCTCAGTTTTAAGAGAGGAATTAGCCTGTGAAAAAGCCCTGATAAGATAAAGTTTAACATGCTCAAGGCATGAAAGACAGCCAGTGTTTCTGGAATACAATAAATGAAAGAGAAAACTTAAGCCATTGTAGACTACAGGAAAGAGGTAGATTTATTTTGAAGTGAAATTGAGATATTCTTAAAGTTGTATGCAGGCAAATGATAGACTTTGTTTAAATTTTTGAAAGATGATTGTGGCTATTGTGTGAGGATTATATGAGAGCAACAGAAGTGTGGCAGCTCATTAGGTGGTGTCAACGTTATTCTATGTGAAAGATCATGACGTTCTGTACCATATCATATCTGTGAATATGGAAGAGAAGAATAGAGAAACCTTTGGGAGGCCTAATTTTCAGATCTGGCTACTCAGTTGATATAAAGAATGAGGGGTGAAGAAAGAACAAGCCTTATTTCCTGGTTGAATACCACAAAATGCTGCTGCTGATGATGAAACAAACAAAAACATTAACAAGAATTTAATCAACAAACGGTGGTCATGCCAAAAATTATTTAAGACAACACACTGCAAAAGGAAGTACAAAGTAAATAAGTTTTGAAATCTTAAAGTTTATACTAAAAGAAACTAAAAAGAGATTTTGACAAATTTAGAAACAATCCTAGAATTTGCATAGCATTTCCAATAACAAGATTGAAGCTGAAAGAAACCTTTCTAAACATTAACTAATAATAAAGGTCTTCATCAACCATGCTAGAAGAAAGACTGAATTACATTTTGTATTTTTGTAGAGACAATGCTATTATACAATTGTCATCATATGACATGGTAATCAGAAAAAATACAAACAAAATGTAAGAAAATGTATTATAGAGGTTGGTGAGAAAGTTAAATGGTGAAAATATGATTTTAAAAATATTTCTGGTGTTCAAAATTTGTAATTTTATAAAATTGGCTATTCATTGTGATTTATATAGTAATGTTTGGACTTAATGTGACAATTGCAATTTTGCCTTTTTGTTTTTTTACACAGAGGACACATCAAATTTTCTAACTTTCAAAACCTGATACACCTAAAGCAGGCTGTCTTAACGTCTCAGATAGAAGTTTTCTAAACATGTTTTCTTAAAGAAATAGGCAGTTTATTTAAAAAATGAAATAGGCTTCTGAGATTTCCACAGAAAATAATTTTAGTATTTTAATCTTGTATAACTGGTCAGAGAGGAGACATTATTTCAGGATCATTGGAAGTATGTCTGAGAAATATCAGAGAGGGTCAAATCATTGAAAAAATGATGTTAATTACCTGAGGATTTTGCAGCATGATGTAAAGCGAGGCTGGTGTATAAGATCAGGTGTGGAAGGCTGGACTCCAAATCTAAGATAAAAGTGTCAGTAAAAAAGATGAAATGTGAAGATGAGGGGAAGAAAACCAAAATAATGTATATAAAATTATTTACAGTTGAGGTCTGTTTGGGGGTTTAAACCTGTCAGGGGATACTATAATATTGCATATTAATGGCTCTTTTGTGACTTGTTAAAAATGGAGTTATTTGCAATACAAATAACTAAGGATTCCCAGAAGTTCAGAATGTAAAGAAAGTCCTTTAAGATGCTCAAAGCTGTGAAAGCAGTGCCTGTTAGGAAAAAATGTGCAAGTAAAATCATCACCTTCATAAGCTACATATGTCTTTAAAGTGCAAACATTTCTCAGGTTATGTATTTCTCTGTGACCCATTTTATTTGCATTTTGGGTGAGTTCACGGTGAAATAAGAAGGTTCTCAACGTTACTATCATCCTGGGTATTAACTGACCATCAGTCTGTTTGATCATGACGAAAACTAACACAACATTAAAATACAGTAATAATGATCATATTGAATGATCATTACTGAATGACTCTGAAAAGACTCGTTATAACTATATTTAAGGAAGAAGAAATTTCCACAAGTTAAATTGTTCAGAGATCTGATTTTTTTTGTCTGTTTGTTTTCACTGTCTCTGACATCATGATGCCAAATAAACAGTTTTTCTCAATTATTATTATATATAAAGTTTAAAAGCCAGTATAAATCATCCCATGCGTTCTTTTTATGTACAAAAAGTCTTTATGTGCATTAAATAGACATCTGGGTACTTGTGCTTTGATAGTTTAAACTTCTTTTTACATTAATCGTAATAAGAAATGTTAGTTTTTAAGAAATAATATTTAAAACATCAAAATCATTTAGCGTTTAATATTACACTCCAATTTTCTTAGTTGAGGAAAGTCCTGTTTGAGCTGAAGATTATATGTTGTCCCTGAACTTACTTCTGATTTTGTGATGAGCATTGCATTTTTTTGAGCATTTTAGAAAATCTTATAATGCATATATAACATTTGCAGTAGTATTTGATTGTTTAAAGTAACCATGATTGCAATATGGATAATTTTTTTAATGCATAAGCCTGGAAAATTGCTCATGAGTTTACATCTCTCTCTCTATATATATCAATATAATCTATGTCCCATCATAGAGGACTGCCTCAGTTTCAAGCCACTGTACTGAATCCCTAGAGTTACTAGGCAAGAAATGTGAATGTAGGAACTGGGCAATGTTCAAGAAAAATAAAGCAGCCCTCTCAGTCTATCTTAGGTTTTTTATTTTTTCACTTCAGATAAAGATATGGGTATTGAAACTGTTATGAGTTGAATTACATGCCTCAGAAAGGATATGTCAAAGTCCTACCTACCCCAGTACCTCAGAATGTGCCCTTATTTGGAAATAGTGTCATCATATAGTTAGGGTAATGTGTGATCATACTGGAGTAGAGGAGACCACTAATCCAACCCCTTGGTTTTAGATTTCTAAACTCTAAGTGCTGCTATAACAAATACCAGAAAATGTGGACATGGCTTTGGAATTTGGTCATGGGTAGAGGCTGGAATAATTTTTAGGTGCATGATAGAAAAAGCTGAGATTGCATTGAAGAATCTGTTAGAGGAATTATGTATGTTAAAGGTAATTCTACTGAGGGATGCGGTGGAAATGAAGAACATGTTATTGGAAACTAGAGGAAAAATGTTTCTTCTTAAAAAATGGCAAACAGAGAACTTGTAAGCCATGAACTTGAATATTTATTTATTTATTGTTTATTTTTTATTCATTCATTCATTTGTGAGACAGGGTCTCACTTTGTCACCCAGGCTGGAGTGCAGTTGTGTGATCTTGGCTCACTGCAGCTTTGACTTCATGGGCTCAAGTGATCTTTCCGCCTCAGCCTTCCAGATAACTGGGACTACAGGTGTGCACCACCACACCCAACTAATTTTTGTACTTTTAGTAGAAATGGGGTTTCACCATGTTGCCCAGGCTGTTCTCAAACTCCTGGACTCAAGTGATCTACCTGTCTTCATCTCCCAAAGTGCTGGGGTTACAGGTGTGAGGCACCATGCTGGGTCAAACTTGAATATTTAGCTGAGAGAATTTCCAAGCACAGTGTTCTTCAACACAGCCTGATTTCTCCTTGCTGCTTATAGTGAAACGTGAGGAGATAAACTGAAGAAGGGACTGTTCAGCAAAAATACACTAGAATTTGATTTGGAAAATTCACACCCTATCCAGGTAGTATAGTTTGGAAACAGTGCCAAGAATTTGACAGGGAAAGCATTTGCTACAGAGATCAGGTGTGTGACTTACAGATCTAATCAGCCACTCAGCAGAAGCCAGGAACAATGATGTGGTTTTCCAGGAAAAGTCTGTGAGGGAATTTCTTGCCTGATATCTTGGTGCCTAGTGCATTGCACAAGAAGCTGACAAAAATTTGGAGAATTTTATATCAGCAGAAACACTGCTAGCTTGGACTGAAAGGAACAGAGATGGGTTACAATTGAGGAAAAATGACTGTAAGACAGAGCTACAAATGCAAAGGCCTGGGATAGCATTACTTCCTAGGTTCCAGAGAGTAGGGCTGCTGCCTAGAGCTGAGCTGGCAGGGCCATCCCTCCAGGCCCAAAGAAGAGCACATTTGGCAATGAATTGTTATTTTTAAGCCTTAAAACTGAATGGAGGCAGAGTGCGGTGGCTCACGCCTGTAATCCCAGCACTTTGGGAGGCATAGACGAGTGGATCACTGGAGTTCAGGAGTTCGAGACCAGCCTGGCCAACATGGTGAAATGCCATTTATACCAAAAATACAAAAAAATTTAGCTGGACATGGTGGTGCACACCTGTAGTCCAACCTACTCAGGAGGCTGAGGCAGGAGAATCACTTGAACCCAGGAGGTGGAGGTTGCAGTGAGCCAAGATCGCACCACTATACTCCAGCCTAGGCAACAGAGTGACACTCAATCTCAAAAAAAAAAAAAATGGATTTGCCCTACTCTGTTGCTAGCTTGCTTATACCAACTACCCTTTTTTTTCCTTCCAGTTTCTCCCTTTTCGAAAGGAAATGTCTGTCCTATTTCTGTAACTTGTTTTCTAATTTGTCTCAGGATACAGCATGTGCTGAATCTCAAACATACCTGATTTAGTTGATATTTATATGAGATTTAGAGTTGATGCTGGAATGAATTAAGACTTTTGGAGATGTTGAGGTGAAGTGAATGTATTTTGCATGTGGGAAGGATGTAAATTTGTTGCGGGACATGCTACATGCTAGACGCTGACCTCTTATGGACTGAATTATCTCACTCCCTACCCAACCCCGATCAAAAAAAAAAAATGTTAAATTTCTAACTTCCAGAGCCTGAGAATGTGACTTTATTTGGAAATAGGATTATTGCAGATGTAATTAGTTGGAATAAGGTCATACTGGAGTAGGGTGAGCCTCTAATCCATTATGACTACTGTCCTTATAAGAGGACAGCCTGAAGATAGTCATACAGAGAAAGCACCATGTGGTGACAGAGGCAGAAACATTAGAGCAATGAAGGTGCAAACCAAGGCCTGCCAATTGCCAGCCACTCACCAGAAACCAGAAGAGACAAGAAAGGATTTCCCTACAGGTTTCAAAAGAAGCATGGGCCTTCCAATGCGTTGATTTCAGACATCTAACCCCCAGAGCTGTGTGATAATGCATTTCTATTTTAAGAAATACAATTTGTAGTGCTTTGTTACAGCAGCCCTAAGAAACAAATACAGAAACTTATATTCTTCTGTTACAAAAAAAGAGGAACAAATAGTATGAGAAAGATGATGTGTGCCAAATGACATGCAATCTTACTGACGGGAACCAATAGAAATATATGGGAATTACGACAACCAAGGGAACAAATTCCACGTCTGAAGGATACAGCTTCCTTTATTAATCTCTTGGCGCATTGAGGTTTGAGTGTCAACCTTCTATTTCTTTAAGAAAAACTAAAAAATAGGATTTTTTAGGATTTTAATGAGATTTTAAAATTTCAAATTAATAACTTAAAATATGACTACCCTCAGATTGAACACAATATGTCTTAGCAAATATCTAGGTCATATGTCATTGATTATCAACCCTCAAAACTGATGGTTAAGGAGAAGAGAATCAAAACAGATTATAGCTGTTAGAATTTTCTTACACTGTTCAGCTATGATAATTTTCTTCCAGCCTTTTAAGTCTATCAAATAAAACCTTCTTCTGCCATTTTTATCTTCAACTAGTGCAATCAAGTGCAATAGCAAAGAACAACATCTGATGTTTTGCTGCCATCTTTGTTATTCCAGGTTAATGTACTTCTTATCCTTTTGTTTACTAAAATACTTTCATCATAACCATTTTACTATCCTTCTCTGCTGGTAGAAGAAAGATATATGAAAGTGTAACAATTTGTTAATTATAAGAGATGTATGGAGAGTACTTAATTCTTTTTGTTCACTTAAAGTAATAATTTTTTTTTCTGGCAATGCTGTCTAAATCAGAGCTTTAACTATTAGATGCACTCATTAGATTTTAGTAATTTTGGCATAATTTCCTCTTACCCTAACTCATTCTAATACTTCAATTAATTTTCAGGATTATCTACATGACACCTTCAGATATAAATATAGAAAAACCCATCTAGATGGTCATATCTACTTAGTTGTAAATGGCTTCCCATCAGACACTGCCTCCTGTCCATTGTACCCTCATTTGCAACCATCATGGCAGATGATTTTCAATTAAAAATACTCATTGCACCTTGTTTGACTCTAGAGAAAAATACTTTTTCTACCAAAAAATATGCAAATTGATTTGCCATGTGATTTTCAGTATGAGAAATAGTTTATTAAGACAAAATCAGTAGCTCTGAAAGCAATTAATATTCAAACTAGTGGTAGAAATGGAAGGTTAAATATTAATTCAACTTTTTTAGTTTCAATTGTTAAAGGAAAGCCCTTTTACCACTGCGGCATTTCAGTTGTTTTGGTTTCAAATTCATTATCCTCATATATCAGCTTTTATTCATGTGAATATTGATTTGGGCTTTGTTTTCTTAAAAAGAGAGTAAATGCACCTAAGTAAGAGAACCAAATAATTTATAGCCCCTAAAAAAGGAAAGAAAATAAATGAACAGAACATTCCCAGTGCAAAAGCTATTTACACTATGGTTGAAAAATACTTTGTAAATGAAAACATACTATTTATAACACCTGTTAAAAGAGAACAACATTTGTAGAAACTATTTGCCATGCCTTTATACTTTCTAGGAGAAGACAGTTTATGGATTTTTCTAGAAGGTGCCAGCTCTTCTCTGTCTGGCCTGCTATAAACCTTTGATAATTAATAGGCTGTCAACTGCTCCTCTAAAACTTCTATGCCTCTAGTTGCCATGAATGCCACCCAATATAACCCCCATGTTTCAAATACCCACATTCACACTATAAAAAGAAGAGCCATGTTTACTTGCCTACATGCTGGTCTCTGATTATCAGTATCTATAAAATGACTTTTGCCATATAATTTACAATACTGCTTTGTTTTGATTGCAAAAACACATCAATGGAGATCACATCCTTCTAAAAATTATTGCTTATGTATACCATGGGTTCACGAATATATTTATCGCTACAATGACAAGAATAAAAGAGACATCTTTCTCAGAATTCTATGCCATTCACTCTCTTTCCATGCTGATTCTTCCCAACCCACTCAAAGGCACAGCTGTCTCCTAGAGAAGAGCTGCAACCTGAAGTATCTCCAGAGATTGACTACTGTCATCTAACAGTGCCTATCACAAGAGAATTCTAGGGGATCATTTGTTCCTGCTTAGCTTCTCAATGACTAGGAGCTTACAATTGAAAGCACTTTATGCTATGAAAGTACAGAAACATTTTATTCTACTAAGTTAGAGTTTAATATTTAGAGATTCAAAATATATAAATGTGGAAAAACAAGAAACAGAGCTAGGCTATAGACGTAACTCTTGTCTTGTTGCATTACTGATCTTGTGTTTCAAGTGTTCACCATTCTGTGGGCTATAGATACATCTGTCTGCATATTCACAAGACAAATATGGGTAGGAGTTATAGATCAAATAACAGTGATCAATGAACACCCTACCCTAAGTTAATCAATGACCGTTTGCTCTACTTCCATCATATTTTATGGACATGAACTACAATACAAAGCAATCAGCCTGTGATATAAGACCCATGTTTTTGAGAAACAAATAATTAAGTAATGGGATATGATTCAAAATGTGAAGATAATGACATAATTATACCCCCAAGGGATTTACAAGGCTTCACCTGTGCTAAAATGTTTCTAAATACTACAAGGGTGATTCATATATTTTATATAAACCTTATCTCCCACAGTTGCCTCATTTTAAAGATAAGAAATGCAATTACTGTATTCTAAGTAAATATACCCAGAGATACACAGGAGAGTTAGGTAGTCTGAAGGCTGAAAGGTCCACATAGGAATTTGGGACAAACAATTGTAAGATTATTTAAATATGAATTGAACTGTTTTGGTATTAGAAGATAAACCTTCTTATTGAATTGAACTGTGATTCATATCTATATAAAAGTGACAATTCTTAATTAGCAGCCTAGAATTCCACCCCTTAGAAACACAGATTCTCCCCATTGCCCACTGTAATGCCATGACACTACATATAGCTGCCTTCAGTTTTAGGGTATGCTTGCTGAGAAAATAGTAAATCTCTTCCAGTTCCCTCTTGCAAATATTTCCATCTTATCTAGAGCATTTCTCCTGGCTCTAGGCTGTAAAGCACTCTTGAGGGAGGGGTAGAACACTGTAGAAACAAACATATGTTTTCCTGAAAGAAAAGTCCCTGAAGTTTTGTGAGCAATTTTCCTGCTTGTGTAGATTTATTTTTTGTTATTACCCCATAGTATAATTCACCAAAAAATGAAATAAAGTGGCTTAGTTATCTTAACACATATCTGCAAATCTGTTGCTTCATATAACTCTCTATACATTTGTTATTAAAGAATGTATCCTCAAGTAGATTATACCCATAAATTTGGGGGCCCTGAGATAAGAGAAGCCATTGAGTGACCTTGTTAGAGAAAGGGTGGGTTACTAACAAATTTCTAAGATTGCTTCAAAATAGATACATCTGATACTCCATCTGACTGTTGATTGCATATTTGACAAAATTCTTTTGAAATTGTTCAATGACTTATTTCTTACTCAGTTTTTGTGATACTAAGATCATCATAAGTCTTATTTAGAAATAACAGGTTAAAAAAAGAAAAAAATCACATAGAATTGTAAATTAGTATCAGGTTTTGTTGTATAAACAAATGTACACACACACAAAAAAGTGTGGTGTGAACAGACAAAAGCAATCTTGCTATATAAAATTGTCTTGATTATTTTGGTAGCTCCAATTGTTAAAGCTGGGAGTGATATGGCACAATGTAGTTGACCAGTTTTGTTAGATCAGAGGTGGCCCCACATCTGTATTTGGAGACTCACATTAGCACCTTCATGAAAGACTCTCTCCAGAATGCAGATACTAATTCTGAGGGCCAGACCTAAAGATGCTGTAGTATTGGAGGTGACAATGCTCTGTGAGGTAGAAGGACACGTACACAGTAAGATTCCAGGTTCCTCAACAGTATTTTGCTGAGCTTGCCATGCTCTTATAATTAGTTTACATAGTTGTAGTAGAGCTTATGGAATCTTCCTATGCAAGCACCTATTTTGAAAAACACTCATTTAACCAATGAAAAGCACTTTCTTATAACATTTCTATTAAGTAAAAAAAAGAACAGAAGATCTCTGATAGAGACTTCAATAATGGCAATTAAAGTATTTAAATATCCACATTTGGGTTGTTGATTTCTTACCTGCATGATTCAAATGCTAACTACTATTATCAGACTGTATATACAAAAGTTGTTTTTAAAGCAGTTTTTCAAACCAAAAAATTAACTCTTGGCAGAGAATAAAGGAAAATAAAAAGCAGTGTGGGTATTAAACATACTATGTACCAATCAATCAAACAGGTAAGAAATTAGTATATAGGTCTGGAAAGGATGATAGTTTAAAGTATGATCCAAGGGCTTGATCTGAGATCAATGAGTTAATATTACAGCAAGAGAGAGATTTCAGGACCCTGTGAGGAGAAAACAAGTCTGCTGTAAGAGTGGTTTAAGAATGGGAAGGGTAGTCACAGGTCGTAGTCATTCCATGGGAATCAGTGGTAACGCTTGGTAAAGATGCTGCTGAAGGGGATCTGAAATGAAGGGGAAAGTTGAAGGGACTATCTTTCAAGTTACTTGCAATGTCATACTTCTATGACAACCCTGCCTGTTATGTCTCCTTGTTTCTTGATAATATAATAACAGAATAAAAAAATACTCATTAAATTACCCAAACTTATATCAACCTAGAGCTCTATCTGTAGATAGATACAGGTTGATACTGGTTGATACAGGTAGATATAGAATTGACTTGCAGTTATAAGAGCAAGAGAAACATGGTTGTTATAGCTTCAAAAGAAGGCAATTTACATTGTAGGAAAAGATGAAGTGTTTATCTTATATATACTCTTAAAGAATGTAGGGATTATCCAGGGGAAGAGATGAGACAGAGAGCTGAGAGTATGGAAATGGGAGAAGGGTTAAGGGAATTATGAATAAAGCAAGCAGATTGAGCAAACAAATGAGGGTAGTAAAAGGCATAATTGGAGAGGAGCAGGACAACAAGAAGAATGGTATTGCTAGAATTAAAATATCTGAAAATATAAAGGATTGGTGAGGGTGTGATTCACTGGGAAGTCTTACAACATATACACTCCAAGAAAACAATATTAAACACACATTTTAGGCATTAGTTACCTGATACATGTTTCAATGTAAATTGGTACACCTACTTTGGAAAATACTTAATTTTATCTTGCTAAACTGAATAAAAGAATCTTCTTTGACTCACAGATTTTGCTCAGATGTTTGTATCCTGGAGAAACTTTAATACATTTTCAGGGGAAAGAATAACATAGACACTAGAGAACATTTTAGCCTCTGTCACCCAGAGCAATCAATACATGCATCATAATTCTTACTCAAATAAACATAAGGCCTCACACTAATAATCTATTTACCTCAGGTCCTTTTACATGATGCATCATGTTCAGGCTCCAACAAAAAGTTAGAAAGCATGCTAAAAAGCTAAAAACACAATCTAAAGGTACAAAGCAAGCATCAGAACCAGAAGCAGATATGACATATGTTCTGGAATTATCAGAGTAGGAATTTAAAATGATCGTGCTTAATATGCTAGGGTTTCTAATGGAAAAGTGATCAATATAGGCAGAAATGTGGAAACTCTAAGAATCGACTGAAAATGCTATAAATCAATAATACATAACAGAAATGATGATATTTGATAAGTCTGTTAGTAGATAGAATATGGCCAAGGAAAGAATCAGAGGTTGAAGATACATCAATAAAATCTCCCCAAACTGAAAAGCAAAGAGAAAATAGTAAAGAAAAAATGGAACAGATTATCTATGAACTGAAGAACAATAATAAATGTGCAATACACATACAATGGGAATACAAGATGGAGAAGAAAGAAGAAAATAATGGAATAAATACTTGAAAGAATAATGGTCAAGTGGCTTCTGTATGACAAAGTCAACAAAATAGGAATCCAACAGGTTCCTCTCAAAGGCAATATTGATGCAGACACAGACTCCTCAGCTGGTCGGTTTACCACAGAACCCTGTAAAATGATATACCTGCAGAAAGTCTTTCAAATTTTCTTGTTTCCTTTCCAAAACTTCTTGCTCACTATCTCCATTGCTTGGTCGAGTTCTACATTTTAAATAGATGCTTTGATTCTGTTTTGCCAGTGCTTAAATTTAGCCAGATACCTCAGTTTATTAATCTTGGTACCAAGGGCACTTTCCATGGCCTACACTCTCTACAGCACTCTTGATTGTTAACAGGATCTTTTCATTTGAATCTCCAGTGAGCTCAAACATCTTTGGACTCACCATCTTAATGTAGCATGTTCACCTGTTCCATCTCCTCAGAATCCTAAGAGCCCTCCTACAGAGTTGTGTAGGTGAGTGATAATAGGGACCTCGATGTCCTTGCTTCTTTCTCTTGCTCACCCAGGCCAGGGGTAAGAATACTTGCTATCCTCATCTTCATCTTCATCTCTTCTCTAGAAGAAATAGCTGCAGAACACTTACAGACTGATATTCAGCACTTCCTTCTCAGCTTCTGCAAGTACCTAACTGCTCACTCTGGGAGAAAGTAACAGGCACACTCACTTCAGAGTGACTGCAGGCTTTATTTCTGATGGCCCCTTGCAGAGAAACTCACTGTGAAACTTTTTGTCATTTACTTACAAACTGGATCCAATGGGTAACCTTTCTTATTTGGTGCTGGATTGATGGAAAAGAATTTCACAATAACTCTTCCCACTGACCTCACCGTTGTGTATCAAGGAATAGAAGTGTCATTCACTTCATAGGAGGCACAGGAAGCATCCTATGAAACTTTGTTCTGTATGAAGTGCCTACATCAAGAGTTCCCTTCATTTGCAAGAAAAGGAAAAATGTTTGATATGAACCTGGTCTCTTAAAATATTATTTTCACTGGGAACATGTCAGAAGTGAGTAAACTAAAACTGTAGACAGTCCCTGGCAGGGTCTTGAAAACTGAAAACTGTTGAAAGCCTCAGACTCCTTGCCTGGGTACAACCCTTGTGATGAGAACAGACATCTCCTTCTTTGTCAGGATAAGGAGCAAGTTTGAGTATAGACGTTGGCATTTTTGGAGAATTCCCATAACTGCCTGGTTACTTGTTACAATCTCAAGATCATCTGTTCTTTTGAGGTTTTGATTGATTTGATTAGGCATTTTAGCTGAAAATCAGAATGGTTTGTAGGGTAATAGAAGTCATTTTGTGAAAGAGGGAAGATGTATCACTTATGAGCATGTCTAGCTTTTCTGAAGGCTTTAAGTAATTCTGCCTCATTTTCCTGAGACTTTTGAAAAGGAAGTTCTGAGAACACGAGGTTCATGATGTGAGGTAGATAATATCGTTAAGAAGGAAAATGTTTTTAATCTTTAGTTTGAGGCTGCCTTAGTCTAGGCTGCCACTTTATAAAGAATACGGTGTGAGAAAGCACTGTAGATAAAATAATCGGAGTTCAATGTATGTAATATTTTGTTTCCTAAAACATTTTAGTAGAGCACTGAATTTATTAAGTCCCTTCTGAAAAAGCATGGTTGGAAATCTGCCCATAAACTCAAGTTTCTCTTTGCCATTGGAGCTCAAAGTACATAGAGCGTTAACACAGTAGCACATTCTCACACTTCAGTGTTATAAATAGGGGCTGACTTTGATCTTATATAGGACAGAGAACTTAAGCAACTTTTTCAAGGTGACATTTGATAAAGCAATTTTCTGCATAATAAATGTCAGGCACACAGGAAAAAAATGAAAAAAGCTAAGGATATCTAGTTTTTAAATTCACTTCCTTATCCAAACTGTGAAAGTTTTGCAGCTTATGCTATTTCTGATAACAGTTTCCAAATAGTAATGTAATAGATATTACTTTAGGAGTAAACTATTGTGGAGGCAATCCAATTTGTTGGTTCACTTCATTTGGTGATATTGGCAAGCTCAGTTGTTGTAATTGCTAAAGGAAGATTAAGAGAGGAATATTATCTGACTCCATGGAGATCAAATTAAGTTATAAGGGAAATCGGTGCAAAGGGAAAACATAATTTAATGTTGTTTCTATGTTTTAACTTTTGTTGCTCGTGTTTGTTTTCACCTATTTTAACTCATTTAATTGTCTTAAAATATGTCATAGGTGAAATGTGAGAGTTAATGAATTTTCAGTCTCAAATATTGTTTTACCAAATGGGGTTATGTTCAATTTTTTTCTGAGGCAGACTTTTAGGTTCACTGCTTTCTGAAATAAACTTTAGGGCTGTCTTGGATCTTAGTCAGTATAACTTAAGCCAGAACACTTGAGAAATAGGTAGATGACAGCAGGTATTTACTACCTGAGTAGTTAAATAAATATTTCAGGTCAATTTTCTTTTCACAGTACTTCACCAACAGTAATTTATAGGGTGTAGCCGTCGATTAATTCAAATCACATATGTCAGATTGAGCAAAATATTATTTGATCTGCTTCTAACCTGAACATCTCAAATGTGGCACTGTCTCTTCAAAAATAGGGAATTGTGAAGATATATTTATGGTGTTTTAAAATAGGAAAATAATGTTTTAAATCAGAATCTTTTAATAAAGAAATTCCAACCAATGATTTTACTATTTTAAATGGACATTTGTAATTAAAGACAATGACAAATTTTAATATTAAATGTAATCTGAATATGCTCATTTCTCTTTTGAAGTTTCTGTATTTGTAACTTATTATAAATACACAAGTCATATGCATTAATATGCATACTTTTTCATCATACATATTCTATGAATGTGTTTTAAATGTTTGTTAATATTATTATTCATATTTATATATTTTTAAATCAGATATGTTAGAAAGGCTGCTACTGCCCATACATTAATTGCTCTATTAAAAATTACTTGGTGATGTAACGTATAGGTGGATTAAGTTTTGAATTTTGAATGGGTGGCAAAAATGATGCATTCCTAGAATAAAATTTAGTTGTTTTACATTTTTGCTTACTATTTACAGCTAGAACACAAGTTCTGGTATTTATATATAAACCATGTCTTCTTATGTATACTCATTATAAGCCATGTAGTTTTGTTCATCTTTGTTAGTTATATATTTATTTTATTATAATAACTAAAACTATCCAAATACACCATTTAAATATATGACAATGATAATTGTAATGTCTCATAATTGTATAGTTACGCTTAATTAATTTCATAAAGTTGACAGTTTTAATTAATGTTTTATATTTCTAGTACTCAGTAGCTGAGAAGTTATTTTCTGTTTCAATAATTCATATACAAAAATGATGTGGGAAGCAGAAAAACACACAGATAAAATGTTCAGACAATACTGAAATCCATAAATGATTCTTTAAAATTATATTACAAATCACGCTATAAAAAGGCAATGAATAAAGAACAGTTAGATTAATAAATTGCAGGGAAATTATTAACTTGTCACAATTTCTGATTTTTATTCTGATTACATCTCAGTAATGTTTCTTAAGTCGTGAGAGTTTTTTATCCTATCCTTTAGTATAAAGATGTATGAACAGACATTACTTGTCTCTGACACTCAGTACTAACCATCACACTGATCATTGATTTTTAGTAGTGCCGATTTAGATTTGCATTCAGCCGTTTCTTACCTGAGCATCTATCTGTCCAGAGGTCACACGGTTTGCTGAACTTAGAGCTCTAAGCTATGACTACAGTCCCCATGGTAGCTAACTAGATCATCTGGGGATTAACTCATCAAAAGAAATTTGCTTCATTCAACCATGTAAAATATTAAGCCCAAGAAGCATGTTTCTAAGCATCATCTCTAAATTTAGTTATGGTTTAACAAGGCAACTTAGGAGTAATGGTCTTGACTGTTTTGACCTTCTTGATAACCTATTAATATTGCAGGGCACTATATAATCATATTTAACAAAATAACTAGTATATTATAAAGAGTAAGTGACTCCAGCCTGGGTAACAGAGTGAGATCCTGTCTCAAAAAAAAAAAACATATATATATATTCATATTCATATATATGCATATATTTTATTAGATAATTAGCTCTTTTCATCGTGAGGCTTAATTCAGTTGAATTATTATCTTAAATCCAAATTTTGAGAAGTTAATAAAATTCTGTGAAATTTACCTAAAACAACACAGAGCAAACCATGTCTTACAATAAATGGTTACTGACCTTTCACATGAAAATTTAGTGAAATTACTTCTCTGAGGAAAATAAACGTGACAGAAAATGAACATATGGGATTTTGTTGCTCAAAAGCATTTATATGATTAGTACATGTTAGTTATAAATGGACATATATTTTAGTTTTTGTTTGTTTGTTTGTTTGGAGACAGAATCTCACTCTGTTACCTAGGCTGGTGTGCATTGACGTGATCATGGCTCACTGCAGCCTTGAACTCCTGGGCTCCAGTGATCCTCCCACCTTAGCCTCTTCAGTGGTAGGGATTGCAGGTATGAGCCACCTCACACAGGTGATATTTTTGAATCACAGAAAAAATAGTAAATTTTATGGGGTAGTTCGTCATAATTGATTCCCTCTTCATGTTTTTTAAATAAAATAGAAATTCATTCAAGTTTAGATTTTAATGATACTAATATAATTTTTGGAGATTATTTTACTGAAAAATGGCTAAATGTAAGGCAAAGTAAGAAAAAACTCAAAAGCAAGGAGTGAAATTATTCATCAAAATGTATAGGTTATTCCTACTTAATTATTTAGACAACAATAATTTTTTATAAGAAACATAAATGTTAATTTCTTTTTAACATTTATTTTAGGCTTTGGGGATACATTTAAAAGTTTGTTACGTAGATAAACATGTGTCACAGTGGTTTGTTGTACATATTGTAACATCATCCAGGTATTAAGCTCAGTATCCAATAGTTATCTTTTCTGCTCCTCTCCTTCTTCTCACACTTCCCCCTCAAGTAGAATTCTGTTTCCTTCCTTGTGTTCATAAGTTCTTATCATTTAGCTCCCACTTATAAGTCAGAACATGTGATATTTGGTTTTCTGTTCCTGTGTTAATTTGCTAAGAATAATGGCCTCCAGCTCCATCCATGTTTCTGCAAAAGAACATGATCTTGTTTTTTTCATGGCTACATAGTATTCCACGGTGTGTATGTACCTGATTTTCTTTATCCAGTCTGTCATTGGTGGGCAGTTAGGTTGTTTTTTTTTTTTTTTTTTTTTTTTTTGCTATTGTGAATAGTGCTTCAATGAATATTCACATGCATTTGTCTTTATGGTAAAATGATTTATATTCCTCTAGGTATATGCCCAGCAACAGGATTGCTGGGCTGAATGGTAGTTAGGATTTTAGCTCTTTGAGGAATCACCGTACTGCTTTCAAAATGATTAAACTAATTTATACTCCACCAGCAGTGTATAAGTTTTCCCTTTTCTCTGCAACCTTGCTAGCATCTGTTATTTTTTGACTTTTTAGTCATAGCCATTCAGACTGGTGTAAGGTAGCATCTCGTGGTTTTGATTTGCATTTCTTTAATGATCAGTGAATTGAGGTTTTATTCATATGATTTTTGGCTGCATATTTGTCTTCTTTTGAGAAATATCTGTTCATGTCCTTTGCCCACTTTTTGATTAGTTGGCTTGTTGGATTTTCTCCTGTAAACTTGTTTAAGTTCCTTATAGATGTTGGATATTTTGTCCAATGAATAGTTTGCAAAATTATTCTCCCACTTTGTAGGCTGTCTGTTTACTCTGTTGATAGTTGCTTTTGCTGCGAAGAAGCTCTTAACTTTAACTAGGCCCATTTGTCAATTTTTGCTTTTGTTGCAATTGCCTTTGATGTCTTTGTCATGAAATCTTTGCCAGTTCCTCTGTCCAGAAAGATATTTCCTAGGTTATCTTCCAAAGTTTTTATAGTTCTGGGTTGACCATTTAAGTCTTCCATAAATCTTGAGTTGATTTTTGTATATAATGTAAAAAGGGGTCCAGTTTCAATCTTCTGTATATGGCTAGCCGGGTATCCCAGCACTATTTATTGAATAGGGAGTCTTTTCCTCATTGCCTGTTTTTGTCACCTTTGTTGAGGATCACATGGTCGTAGGTGTGCAGCCTTATTTCTGGGTTCTCTATGCTATTCCATTTGTCTATGTTCCTTTTTTTGTACCAGTACCATGATTTTATGGTTACAATGGCCTTGTAATATAGTTTGAAGTCGGGTAATATAAGGTTTCTGTAACAAATTAACACAAATTTTATCAAATTTAACACAAATTGGTGTCTTAAAACAACATAAATTGATTCTCTTATAGTTCTGGTGGTTAAATCTCAAATCAAGGTTTTGGCAAAGTCAGTATGATAAAATGTACTCCCATTAACATAATCAGAGAAGTAAAATCCCATGTTATTTGGCACAATTAAACTTCAGACAGGGAGATCATTTGGCTGTGCTTGACCTAATCACATGAGTCTTTTAAAAGCAATTTTTTGCAAACAATTTTTCCCAAGATGGTAGTAAGAGGAAGTAAGATGTTAAAAAAATGAGAAGGGTTGGATACTCCTTGTTGGCTTGAAAGTTGAGGGAGACTACTAGTGTTAAATAATGCAGGCAGTATAGTTATTTAGAGCCATCCCCAGCTGATAGCTAGCCAGGAAGCTTTAGTCCTACACTCACATTGAATGAATCCTGCTAACAAGAAGAATGAGCTTGGAAGCAGAATTTTCCCCAAAGCCTCTAGGCAAGAACTGTATCCAACCAGTCCTTGATTTCTGCTATGCGTATATCAAGCAGAGAAATCAGCCACAGAGTCAAATTTTTGACCTATGTAAGTATGAGTCAATAAATGGATGTTGGTTTAAGTTGCTAAGTTTGTAGCAATAAAAATAAAGCTTCTATGTTAGTAGTATTAAAAAGTTTCTAACAATTAAAGAGGCCTATTTTGTGCTAGAAGTATGGTACCTCTATAACAAAATATAAAATGTAGGAGTGGTTTTAGAATTGGTCAGTGGAAGAATGCTGAGGAAATGTTAAGGAGTGTTATTAAAAAGCCTATAGTCCTTTGGACAGGCACTATAGTTAGTAGAAATAGAGACATTAAAGACAGTGCTGTTAGTAGAAATAGAGACGTTAAAGACAGTGCTGGCTAGAAGTCAGAAGGAAGAGAGGAACATTATAGAAAAATTCTGGATTGTTTTAACAGAAGCCTTAAATCACTGTTAACATACATTTGTTAGAATTCTAGACTTTAAGAATTATGTGGTGACCACCCAGAAGAAGTGTAGAGCATGTTATTGGAGACTAGAAGAAAAAAGATATTTTTATGTGATTACTGAAACTTTGACCAAATGTGTCCTGAAATTATGTGGAAAGCAGAACTTGTATGTGACAAATTGGATACAGAGCTGAGGAGATTTCTAATTAAAGTGTTGAGGACACTCCCTGGTTTCTTGTTGCTTATAGTAAACTGAGAGAAAAGAGATCAATATAGAAAAGAACTAATCAACAAAAAGGGACCAAAGTTGACGATTTGAGAAATTCTTAGCCTGCCCTGATGGTGAAAGACATTAAAATTGCATGCAAAAGCATGACATAAAATAGATCAAAAGTATGCCTCACAGATTTTATCAGTCTAACTTGAGAGACCACAGGAAGTTTACAGGCATTGTCCCTTAGCCATGTCAGCAGAAGCAAAAGATAGAGAAATGATTGTCTCAGAATCACCCATGGATATGGTTTTTGTCTAAGAGTCAATCTTTGTGAAATCCACATAAGGCCAACAAGGTTCCATTACTGAGAACACAGTCAAGTTGGACTGAACATAAGGTTACAGTGAGCCGAGATCGTGCCACTGCACTCCAGCCTGGGCGATGGTGAAAGATCTTATCTCAAAGGGAGAGACAGAGAATACAAAATGAAAGTAAGCCATAAAGCCCACAAAATTTTACTGACAAGGTATTACAGCTGCTCAGCTTTAATTAATTAATTATTTTTGGGGGGACACCTTTCATGAAAATGGAAGCATGTCTCACAGCGTGGAAGCCAGAGCACCAAGGATGGGGCTGACACCCCAGAGGCCAATAATGACAGCCACAGAAGATTATTTCCAGGACTCATCCCTAATTAAGAAACTCTGACTCTAGTTTGCCCAGCTGGATTACAAAACTGCTTTGGAACAGTGACTCTATTTTACATTCCATTTTCTCTCTTTTTGAACTATTCTCTCTTTGTTTTAAGTATCTATAATTGTTGACTTATGGCTATCCCATCCATTGTCGTATACTGAAGGTATTGCAATGAATAACTTATCCAATTAGTTTTAAAGTACACTTTCAGAAAAAAATATGCCACAGGATTTGTACTTAATGAATGTATACTCAGGGCATCCATTTTACCAAACTTAGATGAGAAATTTTTACTTTTGAGCCAAGGATATTAGGATAAAATGTTGGATTTGAGGTGATGCTATAATGGGATGATATCCTTAGGAACTTTGGGAAGGAGTGGATATATTCCTTATTTGTAAGGGACATGAATATTTGGGATCAGAGTGTGGACTATGGTGACCAGAATTCTAAGATGGTCACAGATTTCTTACACCCTATTACTTGATATATAGCTTCCAGACTGTGAATTTGATAGTTTTTAACCTGTGTGATTATGTTATTTAATAAGAAACAGTTGACCTTAAACTATAGATATTATCCAGGCAGACCTTGAGCCCTTTAAAAGCTGAGATATTTCTGCAGCTGGTCACAGAAACGGAAGTCAGAAACTCCACGGATGAGCAGGATTTGATGTGGCCTGCTTACTTACTAATGGAAGGCATCATGTGGTAAGGAAGGCAGATGGCTTCTAGGAACTGACAGTCAGCAAGAAATCACGAACCTCAGTCATACAGTTACAGAACTGGACTCTGTCAATAGTAATAATTACGGAAGCAATTTTATCCCCAGAGCCAACAGACAAGAAATAAATACAGCAAATGCTCTGATTTCAGCATTGTGATGTACTTAGCAGAGAACCAAATACCTTGTGCTAGACTTGGAATGAGAAAACTGTAACTTAGTAAATGGATATTAAGCTGCTAAGTTTATATTAAGTGGTTAAATCACAATAAAATACTAATGTAAATGTCTTTTGATTATCAAAGAGTTAATTTTCATGAAATTATCCTTTTTTTGTCATTCATATTTTTTGAGTTCTAAAAAATCTTTGCCTAGGCTTAGGTCATGAAGATTTTTTCAGTTTACGTTTTCATTTTTTTATGTCTATGATTTATCTCAAACAAATTTTTGTTATAGAGCTATTTAGCAGTTAAGTTTCCTTTTTTTCTTTTTTTTTTTCAGATATCAATAGGTGAATAGATAGACCGAGGTACACTCACATAATGGAATATTATTGAGTGATAAAAAGTGAGCTCTCAAGCCATAAAAACATGGGAAAATCTCAAATGCATATTACTAAGTGAAAGAACCAATCTGAACAAAAGCTAGAAACTGCATGATTCCAATTATTTATGTCCTGTCATCTGGTATTATGTAAGATACAATAGTGTTCATCATGATTCACTAGAAGTTATTATAATTGTGATATCAGACTGGAAAGTTACTTATACAATCTGTACCTCAGGATTGGGATGAAAGGCTTTAGGATGTATCTCTGAACTTATGTAAACATTTCTCTGGGAAGCATAACTTTATAGGTGACCGTAAACTTCCAAATAAATATTTTAAATCAGTCAAGTCCAGGGATTTACTAGATTTTTAAAGGACAAATTATGTTCACAAAGAAAGAAGCACTGTTTGCAAATATAATACTACAACATTTTTATTAAATATTTACTAATTTTTAATGATTTATTCACAGAGAACTTTTTTTAGAAATACAGTGGTACCTGGATTGATGAGTCTAATACTGCATCGCACACCCATTATGCAACCTCTTTCACCTTTACAAGTTTATGCACACTTATCCATACACACACACTCATATCAAGTTCCTTTTTTTACGCTTCATAACAGATAATGTGTCAGTTGGATTATTTTTAAACTGTATGGTTTCTCTACTCTGGCCAAGGACATAGCTGAGTTCTTCCTATGTTTTAGTCTTTACTTTTCCATTATCAGTGAATCATGATACATGAAACAGCAAATTTAAGTTCCATCTATCAAAAAGAAAATTTGTAAGAAATTCTCATATATACAGCATTATAAAGAACTGGTTCTAAATTCTGGAATCATATAGCAAAAATGTGACTGTAACAATTTTTGTTTTGTCTGTTACCCTTATTTCCTAATATATACTGAGATTTCTTCTGAACCTGAAGTATTTTAGCTTTCATTTCATAGACAGTAATGAAAAAGGAACAACAAAAGCATTGCTTCAGTCTGTAAACAAGTTTTATATTATTAGTAATATTACAAAGAACTAAGAAACTAAATTTATTTTGGAAAAACTAAATCATTGTTATAGAGATTTTTTAAATGATTGAATTATTTTTGTTTTCAATTTTATATTCTTTTTACCTCAGCCTAGAGAATTGCAGGGTACATGGGTTTAAATGGATAATTAAAATAGTAATAGGGGCTGAGTAAAATAATTTCTGTGATTGTGTAAATCAGTAAGATGAATATTAAACATTTTAGTTATTTAGATATTCTGATTAGGTAAAATGATGGCATCACAACTGAACATCAGGTTGACTGATGAAATATTTCACTTTCCAGTCATTGAAAGATCTTCTGTCTCTACTAATTTATCAACAAGTATTCTTTTTATTGATTGTTCTACTAAAAATGAAAAAAATACATATATTTAGGTGATTATAAAAACTCAGAGTTTCTGATTATGGATTTATAGAGTAATAGGTGGTCATGATCTAATATAAGATAATTTAGAGGCATTTAGAGGATTACCTTTTCAAAAGCATTAAACATTGTTAGGAAGATTGATATATTAAAGAGGAATCAGTGATTTAGGATAATTTTTATTATAACAAATAACATGCTGTAAAATAATATTTGTGTTAATATGGATTATAGAAATAAACAATAGGGAATCAAATGAAATTCTGGTAAATATTCAATATTAAATATGGACATGTAATTTTATTCATGTGTCATAATGTTTTTCTTGCATTTCATGATTATTATCAGAGTGAGGCAAATATAAAATAACCTGTATATGTTATAGCATATTTAAAGTGGTAAATATTTTATTTAACAAATATGGAAAATAATCAAATAATAGTAAAACCAATAAAACAAATTCTGATTTTATTTTAACCTGTTCATGTTAAATCATCCAAATACTCCTTGGAAAACATTAGATTATTTAGTGATTTTTACACTTACTATAGCAAAATATGAGTTCTGTTAGCCTCTGGAATGTACCTTACTCAAATAATGGTTCCTGGATCCTGTTATGCAAGTAAAGGTAAAGAAATTATCATCTGTTCAACTACAATATGTATTTACGTTTTTTGGTTGTTTTTTTTTTAGACAGAGTCTTGCCCTGTTGCCCAGGCTGGAGTGCAGTGGTCCCATCTTGGCTCACTGTAAACTCTGCCTCCCAGTTCAGTGATTCTCCTGCTTCAGCCTCCCTAGTAGCTGGAACTACAGGTGCAACCACGCCTGACTAATTTTTGTATTTTTAGTACAGACAGGGTTTCACCATATAGGCCAGGCTGGTCCGGAACTCCTAACCTCAAGTGATCCACCCAGCTCGGCCTCCCAAAGTGCTAGGATTACAGCTGTAAGCCACAATGTGTATTTCTGTCAACCACATATATGTGATTGTTCAATGGAAAGTCATGTTAGTGTGACAAGAAATAAGAAAGTTGTGTTAGCTCATCAACCTTTTGACCTAGGCAAAAGAACTGTAATTGGAGAGTTGAATTATTCCCTTTGACAGAAAAGGAAAAAGCATTTAACTCTGCTTTATACACAAATGGGAACTCTCTTAGCTAGAATGAGACACTTTATTTATTTATTTATTTTTGAGACAAAGTCTCACTCTGTTGCCCAAGCTGGAGTGCAGTGGTGCCATCTCAGCTCACTGCAACCTCCACCTCCTAGGGTTCAAGCGATTCTTCTGCCTCAGCCTCCTGAGTAGCTGGGACTACAGGCACGTGCCACCAAGCCCGGCTAATTTGCTATTTTTAGTAGGGACGGGGTTTCACTGTGTTGGCCAAGCTGGTCTTGAACTCCTGACCTCGTGATCCACCCACCTCGGCCTCCCAAAGTGCTTGGATTACAGGCATGAGCCACTGCAAGCCAGCAAATGAGGCACTTTAAGTAGAAAATTTGAGCTCTTCTTTCATAAAATTAGAAATGATTGCCTAATAAATCCAGTTCCAGTTAGGATGTGAGATTTCTCTCATCATACAAGACAACATTGGATAAACAAACAAAATCACACTTTGCTTTAAAGTCATCTAAGTGTATTGGATATAAGAATGTCGGCCGGGCGTGGTGGCTCACGCCTGTAATCCCAGCACTTTGGGAGGCTGAGGCAGGCGGATTACAAGGTCAGGAGATTGAGACCATCCTGGCTAACACGGTAAAACCCTGTCTCTACTAAAAATACAAAAAATTAGCCGGGCGTGGTGGCGGGCGACTGTAGTCCCAGCTACTCGGGAGGCTGAGGCAGGAGAATGGCGTGACCCCGGGGAGGCGGAGCTTGCAGTGAGCCGAGATCGCACCTCTGCACTCCAGCCTGGGCGAAAGAGTGAGACTCCGCCTCAAAAAAAAAGAATGTCTAGAAACCCAATTCCCAAGAGAAATGACTGGGGGATGCAAGTTAAGGGAGGACTGAGGAATATACCTGCCACAGAAGAAGAGACTTTTTGGGGATGGGGAGAAACAAGCTAAACTTGTAATGAATGCTTGTGTTGGAATGACTGTTTGGAATCTGGAAGAGCCTCAGGGTAGAAATAAATCTCTTGACCACACAGTTATAACCTATAAGAATTTGCTCAGTTAGCATCTGTGGTTGTAAAGTGGGAAACACAGACAGCCATCATAATCTCATCTAGGTTTAGGTTCAAGTACCCAGCTAGTATTGAATTCAGAGTTGAACTGAAATTAAATAACACTTCAAACCAGCCCCAACTCAGCTCAACTTATAATTAGCTTCATATTAACTCCCCACAAAAGGAGTTCAGATGGAAATTTACTGGAAAAACAAACTACACTACAACAAAATTAAGCACTTTAATCTTTATTATTTTATAAAAAGTTAATATCAAAAATTAAAATACATAAAAAGATGCAGAAAAATGCAACTTGTAATAAAGAGACAATGATAGTAGAGGGGGATTCTCAGCTTCAGTGTAGGATTAGCTGGAAAGAGCACTGTTCCCATTCTTATAGTATGTAAAAGCCAGATGACTTGTATAATACAACTGGCGATAACTGAGTATCAATTTACATTAGAATATTACTGGGGATAGGATAAGAAGATGAAGGGAGACCGTCTCTGGGCACAAGTGTAAAGGGAAGTCTTTAGTTGAGGGTGAAGCAGACTTTGAGAAAATCTCCCAGATAACCAGCCCACATCCTAAGCACAAAGTGAATCAAGAACAGTTTGAGGTCTGTAGTGCACTGAAGGTAACCGTAAGAAGAACAAAACTAAAATACAGCTCAATTTCTGACTATATTGACTAAACTCAACAAACCAAACAAATTCTGGAATTGAAACAAAAACATCTGAATTGAAGAATTCCTTGGATCAAAGAAACTGTAGTTTGAACACAGCACAAAAAAAGGCCACTGTACTGAAAGACAGAAAAACTTAAAAAGTCTGAACAATCACAGAACTGAAGAGAATTAGCAACATAGGAAAATTTCAAATGATTATCCCTAAATGTAATTAAAATTCCAGAAAAGGGGAGAGGAACCAAGAGGAAAGAATATTTGAAGATATAGTGGAGAAATCATTCCAAATATGATTAAAAATAAACCAGCAAATAACCTACCGATTTAAAATGTTCAGAGAGCCTCAGGCAGGACAAATGACATGAAATGCATATCTAGGCCCATCATAGTCATACAGATAAAAACTAAAGAGAAAGAAACATTTCATAAAGCTGCCACAGTAAGACAATTAACATTCAGGGAAACAATGATGTCTGCCTTCTTATCACAAACAGAGGAAGACAAAAAGAAAACAAAATGATGTATTCATGTGATACAAATAATAACAGTCTAGAATACCATATTCAATTAAGATACCTTTCAAAACTGAAGGTGAAATACAAACTCTTTTCAGAGAAAGTAAAAGTGAGATTATCTGTCCTTAGCAGATTGTACTGCAAGAACTCATGAAGTTATATAGGCAGAAGAAACATGATTGAAACACACATCCAAAGGATGAGATGAAAAACCCCCAAAACTGTAAATATTTTGTTAGATATAAATGACTATTTTTTCTTAATTTCCACAGAACAGTATGTATAAAGTAAAAATAGCAACAATATATTGTAAGGTTTATAAAATATGCCGTTTAACATATGTCAACAAAATCATACATTTAAGAGTGATATAACTAGGATTATATGGTTGATAAGAATCATATTGCACATTAATTGGTATAATATTAATAAATATAGACCACAGTGGTGCTATGAACATTCACGTCTTTGATATACAATATGCATGAGTACTCTTCTGTTGGAGTAAAATTTATTAGCATGTGCATGCAAGATTTCAAAACGTATTGCCAAACTGGTTGCACCAACTTATACTTCCTTCAGTTCTATGTGAAAGTTTCTATTGCTCCTTCTTCACCTCAATCGTATATTTTCAGTCTTTTCAATTTTAGCCATTCATTTTGTATTATCACTTAGTGTTTTTCATTTCTGTTTCCCTGATGACTAATAAGAATGAGCATCATGTCGTGTATTTTTTTTTTAATACTTGACTATTCTGGGTTGTTTTTCTTTAAGTATCTTGTGTGTATTTTCAATGTCATTTTTCTTATCTATTTGAGGAAAATGTTCTCATTAATGGTCCATGTTAGTTATGTTTGTTCCAAACATCTTCTGCTGCTCTGTGGTTGGTATTTCATTTTTCTTATGTTTTGGATAGACAAATGTTTTTAATTTTAATACAATCTGATGTCTTAATTATTTACTTTGTAGTTAGTGTAATTTGTGTCCATTAAGGATTGTTTGCTCACCCTAAACTCATGAAGACATGCTAATATATTATAGTAACTTCATTGTTTTACTTTAATATTTAGATCTGCAATCCAACTGTAGTTTATTTTGTATAAGGCATTAGACAGCGTAAATTTTTAATCTTTCTCATATGGATATACAATCGATTTAGCACTATTTACTGAAAAGACTTTTTTTTCTGCTTTGCTATGGCTCCTTAGTATTAATCAAGTGTTTACAGATGCATAGAACTATAATTTATAGTAAGATCTTATCATGATATTACCTCCAATTCTACATGTTAACAGGTAAAAGAGAGAAGTTTAGACATTTGCAGAAACTTTTCACTGCTTTTCAGGGATTGTCTTTCAAACCACTGTCACAATATGGGTTAAAGAAAGCCAGATTTGAGACCCTTAGTGAAACATTGTTCTATGTGTTTCAGATGGTAATTGGCTTCATTTTCTTGGGTATCTATACCTCATTTCTCAGTTTATGGATGAAATAATGTAGCAGGGTATTAAAATATGTTTTTCTAAATTTTAAGAACATTATTTCTATTCTAGTAGTCCATGAATTAATCTTTAATTTATGTCATTAAGTAGGCATAGACAGAAGTTAAATGAAAAGTCAGATGTGAAAAATTTTATGAAGACATGTCTTAGAGGATAATATTGTTGATGGACATTATTGCTATAAATAATCTTGTAGTTTTCTCTTAGTCAACATGTTTAAGAGTTTCCCTAAGGAAATATCTAGAAGTAGAATTTTAGAGCTATAGAGAATGAACCTTTTAAACTGTAATTGATAACGGATGCCGATTTTCTCCCTAAATGTTTAGTATCCCTATCAATTTGCAAGACTAATTTGCTCTGAATCCTCATCAGTAATGGATATGATCAAATTTTTGAATTTCTAAAAATGTGCTGGGTGTGAAATTTGATCTTAAGATTGTTTAAATTTGTGATTTTTTGGTTAATATTCAGGTTGAACATGTTTTATTCAGCCAATTAAATTTTCTTTTCTATGTAGTACTAATTTAAAAATTTGCGTTGGCCGGGTGTAGTGGTGTGTGCTTGTGGTCTTAGCTACAAGTGAGTCTGAAGGAGGAGGGTTGAGCCTGGGATATCGAGACTGCAGTGAGCTGCGTTTGCACCACTGGCCTCAAGCCTGGGTGACAGAGTGAGACACAGTCTGAAAAAAATTGTCATTTTTTGTGAGGTCCTCTGTGTATTTTTATAATGCTATTATTGTTTTTAGTCATCCTTTATTTTTAGAGATATTAATCAATTAGAAGTATTACATGTTAAAAATGCAATCTTCCAGTTTTTATCTTGCCCTTCTACTTGCTTTATACTATACTTTATAATTTATATTTTATGAATATACAATATATAAATGTGTAATATAATAGAATATATATTTATAATTTATGTTATAACTTTATAATATATAATATATAAACTTATAATTCAAGTAAAAATATAAAATTTATATTTTATATAAATTATAAGTGATATAATTTATATATGTATACAAATATATATAAATATTTATTTATAATTTATAAATAATATATATTTATATATTTATAATTTATATTGATATTATTTATATTGTACTTTGATGAATAGGAGATTTCAAAGTTTCATATTTTCATCTTTCTCATAATAGTTGGTAATGCACCTGGAAAGGATTTTGGTGTATGTGTGGTTGTCCTCAAATTTCTCTTGGATGTCTCAATTCATTATTTGTTGAAAATTTCTTTATTAAACAAAATGCTAGTTGTGCCATAAAATTACTATTGGATTCTATTGATTCCTAATCTAATTCCATTTTAATATTCTACTTTCTAAATTATAAATTTCATGCAACGTCTTTTTTTATATATTATCCTCACTGGTGCCTTGATTACTCCGTAATCTTTACTTTTTCATAAAATTACAGAAAATGTTTGTGAGGTTTTAATCAAGTACACACACACACACAACAATACTTTTTAGAATTTGATTTGTTTTCAGTGAATCTATAGCATAACTTGGGTAGAACTGACAACTTTAGCTATTGAAATGTCCAATCATGAAGGTTTCTCTATATTTTTAAAGTATTCTTTACTGTATGAAATTTCAGTAAAGATTTACACTTTTCTATAAAATTGTTACCTATCCTTTGTTAGATGTATACCTTGCACCAGACATAAAAATGTACTCAAAATCTACTGTAGACCAAAACTTAAAACCTAAATTATAAAACCTCTGAAAAAAAATATAGACAACATTCTTTGTTAACTTATGTTAGGCAAAAACTTTTTAAATAGGACACAAATAGCACTAAACATAAATATAGAAAAATGACAAACTGGACTTCATAAAATTTTGAACTTTGAATCTTTGGTGAGAGTTTTAATAGATGGGTGAAAACTATTTGCAAATCATAGATTTATTAAGAAAATTATGTCCAGAATATATATAAATAATTCCCAAAACTTAAGAAAACAAACAATTCAATTTTAAAAAATTAAATGGGCAAAATATTTGGACAATCACTTTATGAAAGAAGATATATGGATAGCAAATAAACACATATAAACATGCTCAGCATCATTAGTCATTAGAGAAATGTAAATTAATACCACAATAAGAAATGACTACATATATATTAGAGCAAGTTAGATATAAAAGACTGACAATATCAAACATTGGCCAGGATGTGGAGGACTTTATTTCTGTTAATACTTATACAATGATGAAAATATTTCAAATATTTCAAATATTCCTAGTCAAATGCTCTCACTGTATTACACTTTTCATTCAAAACATTTATCATTTGCTTGTAAAACAGTGATGCTAATTTGAAACTGTAGACTACAGTATATGAATTATTTTTTTCCCCTTAAATAGCTGTTTGGCACCATTTACTGACAAGAACTTTTCATCATAAACTATATCAGCAAATTTGGAACAACTGTTTTGAATGAAATACTGAACAGCTAGCTGTGCAGGGCAACTGTCTGATGCCCCAGACCCATTTCATGGAAAGTATTTTCAAGATTATATTCCATTCTAAATGTTGGGAGTATATAACATTAATTCCATTGATATAAATGTATAGTACATTGTGAATATTGGCTCAATGTCTTAAAAACATCTTTTCATTTATGAATCATGGCCAATACAGGTAATACAAACTAGATAAATTTATCACAATTTTAATGTCAATGAAGTAAACCAATATAGCCGTGATTACATTGTCCTCATTTATCCATGAAGCATGCTATTAATTTTAATAATACGATTTCTTATTGAATGTACATCATTTATAAACTAATATTCCTTCTAGTAACACATAAAAATTATAATTTGGAGGCATCTCACTTTTGAATCAGACTCTAAAATTTCCATCATGTTTCTAAATTTGTCTTTCTTTATAGATATCTCAACATCATTTGCTAGCAGATAAATGAATTTTAGTTTATTCCTACATTGTTTTCTGTGTATCACTTTAGTGATTGTGTGTAATTGGAGTGGAAATTGTTTTCTCATTGGCATGTGATTATTAGATTAGAAATCATAAAAGGTTTACAAACATATGTATATTGATAAATTTAATGAATTTGTCAAATATTGAAATGAGAATTATATTTCATTAAATATCACTGTAATTGTAGAGGTGTGACTTTACAAATGGTTACATTTGTTAACCATTAGCAAATATCTCAAAGTGCAATATACAATTAGCATAGCCTATTATTAACAATAGTAGGTTAAAATCATAGTCGCCATGATTACTTTTGCTGACTTTTCATATATCATTTGACTGTCCTTATTTAAACCTCTTAGTATGACTTATATTCTTTGTGAGATTACGATAAATATCAGGTCTGTCATTTTCTCATTGTCTTGAGTATTTAATATTAGCAATGCTTCAATATATGATTTTCTGCAGAAATTTTTAAAAACTTCTATTTCTGAGCATTAGTTTAATTGAAGTTAGAAATATATATTAATTATGTTATCACATATAGAATTATTAGTTATAGGATATACAATAATATAAGTATACATTAAACATATATTTGTATATAGAGTTCTGGTTTAACTTCAATTAAGCTAACATGTGTCTGATACATAGCTTACCTAGTAGATATTTCTAACTTCAATTAATTTTTACATATCTACATACATTTTTAATTTCTATTAAAATTGAAGGAATTGTAATCATATATTCCATTGATTCAATTATTTTGACACAGGTACACTAACATTACATCACCCTGAAGATGAATATTTGAACACTCTTCACATTATGGAAGTAACACTTTTCCAGTATACTATATGTTGTAATCATTCCTTTGCTTAGTACATTTTTTTTAGTACCACCTGTCTGCTAGATACTATATTGCAGTGAGTAAAAGACAATGTCTTTTCCCTAACAGAGCTGACATTTTAGAAGGAGTACTCAGGCAATAAACAAGGAAGTATAAAATATAATACTAGATGGTAATAAATGCTAAGAAGTAAAATAAAGTAGGTAACTAGAACAGAATGTAATATGAGTCAGAATTTTAATAAAATAGGCCAGAGGAGGATTTTCTTATGAAGTGACATTTTAGCAGACATCTGAATAAAGTGTTAATGGGCACTATGTTAGTCTGCTGCTGTAACAGAATACCACAGACTGGGTAATTTATAATGAACAGAAATGTGTTTCTTACTGTTCTGGAGATTGGAAAGACGAAGACAAGGTGCCAGCAGGTTTGGCTGTCTCGTGAGGGCTTTCTTGCTGCATCCTCACATGATGAAAGGTTAGAGCAAGTTAGATATAAAAGAAGAGCAAAAGGGAACTGATGCTGTGTCCTCATCTGGCATAAAAGGGGACCCAATCCCACAAGCCCTTTTTATAACAGCATTGACATATTTATGAGGGCAAAGCCCTCATGACCTTCCTATCAGACCCCATCTCCCAACACTGTTGTATTGGGGATTAATTTTCAAACACATGAATTTTAGGGAATGCATTCACCCCATAGCAGGTGCCATGTAAATATCTGGGAAAAGAATTGAGAAGCCAGAAGTAGGTGTTGTTAATTGTGTTTAAGGAACTGTAAGGAATGCAGTCTGACTGAAATGGCATGTGCAAGGAAAATAGAGATATAAAGTAAGGAGATTTTTATGTGCTAGTTCATATGATGAGGTAGCCATTGTAAGGTGGTCAGACATTATCCTTTGTGTATAAAAAAAAACTATTGGAGAAGCTACATGGAGAAGGAATATGATAAGATTGACGTATTCAAAAGGTTATTTAGATTCCATGGAGAAGAATACTACACCTGGAAAAGAAAAAGTGGGAACAGAGAGGTAAGTTGACTTTAACAGTAGTATAGACAGCAAAGGATATTGACTGGAACCTGTGACTGAAAAGCAAGAGGATCTACTGATGCATTTGATGTAAGATAAAGAGATGATTCAAGATGCCACAAAGTTTTTTTGACCAAGTATCTGGACAAGAGGAAGTGCCATATTTGGAGGTAGAAATGTGTATTTTAAGCAAGTAATATTTGGATACTTATTAGTCATCTAAGTGGAAATGTCAAGCAGGCACTAGGATATGTGATTCAAGAGTTTAGGAGAGTTGTCAGAATTGTAGATATAATCTGGAAGGTATCAAAGTATACATGGTTTTTAAACTTAGGGAATGAAATCACCAAGGAAGAGGATGTAAAGAGAGAAGATACTGAGAACAGAGATCGAGAAGAAAAGAATTAAGTAAATGAGACTGAAAAGGAATGACAGTGTTATGGAAAACCAGGTCAGTGAGGTGACCTAGAGATGAAGTACAGAAAGTATTTAAAGAACTAGGCAACAGCCAGCTGTAATAAATACCACTCAGAACTTGAGTACAATAAAAACTAAGGATTGAGCGGTGGAGGTGAACAAATGATCTTGTCAAGAACAGTTTCAGAAGAATACTGGGGATAAATTGCTTTTTATTAGCTGAAAAATTAGAATATGGGGAAAGTTGATAACACTGAAAAGTAGAAATTTAAGCAACTTAGTTTTTAATATAATCTTTAAATATGTAGGAGATTATGTAATTCCCTTATATAGTTCTTGATTATTTTCTGTGAACCAAGAATGATTTATCTTTATTATGAGTTGGACTTTCAAGTTAATATGAAAATCGAATATTTATGGCTTCTCATGCTGCTGTGTCAATAGAGATATCATACTCTTGACTTTGTACCTCTGCTTTAATGACAAATTTGTTATTTTTAAAATGAGGTGTCAAAAGAGTAGGGTAGTTTTTGTAATCTCCAATATAGAAAATAAGTGATTAACAGGATTTCAACAGTGCTCTTATAAAGTTTACAGTTTTACAGTTACATGTGAAATCCATTATTTTACACTGTCTGAGTATTTATAATTGCCATGAAACCATATAGAATATATGTATATGCGTAAAAATAAAAATTCTTTTGACTCCTACAGGTTATTCTGAAGAGCATCTGAGTGGATTGTGTCTCTCTCTAATTTTACTTTGCTTCTATATTGAACACTTCTGTTGCCTGGAGGTTTTCCTAACACTGTGGTGATATTTGGCAGATTTTAAGTTGTCTTGTATAGTAGAAACAATGTAGAATCTTTGCCATCAATGTTTGCTGACCATAATTTTTAGAAATATAAATTTAAGTTGGAAGATAACACTATTGCATTATTAAAAATATTTTATCTTCAAGGATGTTTGTGTATATTTTCATGCATACAAAATACAGATGTGATTTTCTTGTAAGCAGTACATCCAATAAACTTGGCTCATAGGATATAAAAAAAGTAATTTTATTATTCTTTCCTTCTTACCATTTAAAATGTATTTAGTAGACAGAGTTTTCATTATGACAGTGCATAAAATCTTTGGGAGGAATAATGACTTTTATAATTACTCTAAAATAATGAATAGTCTTTCTCTTATTTTAAATCCAAAAATAAGTCTCAAGTAAAATCTCCAGTTTCATGAATTTTGGTTTTGATTTAAACATTCTTCACTCTCCCTGATGGGTCATATTCATGTGGGGTGTATTTATGCTAATGGCAGATGAGATGAAGGTTGTGAATAATTTCCTTTTCTTCTGGCCTGCTTCTCATGATTTTTGGCCATTCTAGGGTTGAGAACGTGGGTATCAAATAGGTGAAAATAGAGACTTACTTAAGTTGTAGTTACTTAAAGTGTGAGTTAAACACTAATCTTAGGAAGGATTTAAAACTGATTCTCATGTAGGACATTTTATGGCTTTTTAGAGGTTCTCTACTGTTCTCCTCTACCCACAACATCCATTTCAGACAATATAGATTTTATACTCTCGCTGCTGCTCTTTCATCACCTCCTGAGGAGTTTCCTCACTGGTTCCTGTCATCACAAGATCTTTAAGGACTAAATATAAAATTTTAATATAGAATTATTTTCTATATGACTCATCTCAGTCCATTGGAAATACAATTTGCCATCTTGTTGATGATGTTAGTTCCTAAAATGTCTCTCTCTCTCTCTCTCTCTCGCTCTCGCTCTTGCTCTTGATCTCGCTCTGTCCCTTACATCTTTATCTCTATCTTATGTATTACCATAGTCCAATGGTGGCAGAATCTAGTCTTAGATTCTTCAGGCATAGTCGGTGGGATGGCTCATGCCTGTAATTCCAGCACTTTAGTAAGCTGAGGCAGATGGATCACCTGAGGTCAGCAGTTCGAGACCAGGCTACCCAACATGGCAAAACCTCGTCTCTACTAAAAATACAAAAATTAGCCAGGTATGATGGCGTGTGCCTGTAATCCCAGTTACTTGGGAGGCTGAGTCAGGAGAATCGCTTGAACAACCCGGGAGGTGGAGGTTGCAGTAAACCAAGATTGTGCCGTTGCACTCCAGCCTGGGCCATAGAGTGAGACTTCATCTCAAAATGAAACAAAAACAAACAAAAAGGCTCTTTAGGTATGAGTGTCAGACGCAAGTCCAAAGGATCCCATTAAATGCGGGTGGCAAGTATCACTACTGTTAAGCTGTCTCACTGTTGCCTTTTTCATTACTCTTATGGTGAAAGGCGCATACAAACTCTTTTCTCTCCTTCTTGTGAGTGTTGGAATTCATAGCAAAGTAGTAACTCTTTCTACAAACACATTTTCCATTAATTTTCGTTGCATAAAATCTCTCTTTAATGCTTTCATATGCTTAAAGTTAATGAGAGATTTCAAGAGCCACCGAAATGCTTCCAATTGATTTCCTTCATAAATTTGCATTTTTGTTTGCCCATCTCACTTTGATATCTTATATGTGTTTTAGGACACCAGTCAAAACTTCCAGTTTAACATTGTATAGTACTAGCATGACAATTCTTATGTTCATACTATGCTTATCTAATCATTTGAAGTCATAGAAAAATTACTGTGTTGTTCTTGATTGCAATCCATGCCACTATCTTACTACTGTGTTTTCTATTAGATTTTAAAATAAAATTGTCTTATTATAAACTTAATTTTTTTATTTTAAAATTCAAGCACTTAAACATCCTGAAGTAAATATAGACATTTTAGGTTATTAAACATAAGGAATTTTTACAAGTAATACTTTCTATGATACATAAGAAAATAATGTAAGCTTATGATAGTCTGAAAACTTATAATTTTACTTCAGTAATTCCAACATTATTCATCAGTGCTTATGAAACATCATGCATGTAAGTGCTGGTGTTTTTTTGCTACTAAGCAGGAGAATAGAATTATTTCCAAGGAAGCTTTTCCCTATAAAGCTATAGATGCTAGACCATGTTGAAGATTTATGACTTAATGTCTTGCAATGAAATAATATGGTTCCTGTGAAGCTTACATTATTTCACAAACATTATTTAATGTATAAAAATCTGAGTAGAATCTCTAAAGTGAAAGGAACAAAAGTCAACGGGGAATATCGAATATTTTTTAGCTTTGTGTGAATATTATCCATGCTTTAATAATTGTCACTTCTATGAAGCTGTGAATTCAATAATAAACTGATCTTATTTGCACTAGAAGCAAGTTTGGGCATTGCCTATGGAAAAGGTTAATCAGCCTGTTTGCCATTATTACTGGTTTCATTTTTTTCTACTTTTAGACAAAGTATGTTTCTGTTTTTCAAAAATGTATGTTGTGGATGAAGATTACTCTGTTGAACTTAGTCTATACCTTTCAGTAGAATTTCCTGGTTTATAAAAAGCATTATTTATTCTTTAGAGTGAAAAAAAGTGGTACTACTCAAAAATAGAAGGTATACATCCTCCATACAGGAAAATTTCTTTGTAGAAGACAGAATTGATTAGTCTAATATGTTTAATGTAAAAATTTGACTAAAATATTAATGTAAGTATGATATGCTGACATTTTGACCATTTTGTGCATATTAAAAATAAACCACACGAGCACTCAGTTTGTTTTCATAGGTGGGGTTCATTTGAACCACTGCAATTTTATTAAACAATGACAGATAGACATATGAAAATTTAGAATTTGTAAAAATTAATTGGAATATTTTAAAATTAGATATTGAAAATATAAAAGTGAATGAGTAGTTTTCACCTAGAGGGAACTGCTTAATCACTGAGTTGCAAATCAAAGTTTTTTTTGGTTAATAGAGGTATGTGTCTGCTGTTATAGATGCAAAGACAATATAATGTAAACACACCTTTGAGTACCCTCTGATTCTTGAATATTTTTCACTTTTTCTAATTATATAGAATTAAATAGTTACTTCCTGCTCTACCAAATGTATAAATTGATATTTATAAGATATTTATAATGAATTAAATACCAACATTACTATTTTATTATTTAAAAGGACATATATGATTTATGCAAGGAAAAATATTTATAAGATATTTATAATGAATTAAATACCAACATTACTATTTTATTATTTAAAAGGACATATATGATTTATGCAAGGAAATATATTTAAAATATACTTTCTACTCTCATAAAAATTAAGAAAATAGTCTGATATTCAAATGTCTCAATTTCAGCAATTTTCCATGCAGCTGTATTCAAGGAGATGAATCACTTTGTTACACGATAATTATTCTGTTTTCAAATTTGTGGGAAATTTCAGAGAAGAGCTTTTACATCCAACCTTCCATAAAATGATTCTGTACACATTATTATTGCTTAATCTCAAGATTCTTAAAAGTTCTAGTAAATAGTCTTTTAGGTAAAAGATGAAGCCTTCATGCATGTGTACAATCTAATTATCTTCCTCAGGTGTTTCAGTTTTATAAATACTTTCAGTTGTTCCCAATATCCACATAGCTCTAGATACCTAGTTAAATTAGTAAGGGATTTGTACACAGGATATTTTGGTAAAACTATGCTGCAACATTTATTTTGATTTATATTTGAGTCTATAATAAGTTATTTTCTTTTCAACATACAGGCAACTTCAAGGCAAAAGACAGTGGGAAGAAGAAATCAAAGGCCATTTTCTTATTTTCGTTACTTATGGCAATCATGATTATCCCTTTTTTGTTATAAAATGCGAAATAACAGCTGAATTTGATTTAATTTGTTATTTGTCTTTTAGTTGAATTTTAAACTTCTGTTAATACCCATAAAGTGAAAAGCCATCAGTAGACAAGATAAATAAATAAATTATATCTAATTTTCACAGATATACCCTGCTTCAAAGCCATGTCAGAGTGCAATTCACAAGAGTTTAGCTATATATAAATGATAAGATGCTCTGGGGAGAAGTTTTGAAGATTTGCAAGCTTCTTCCCTCAGGATCAACATTGATGAATCTAAGTAAATGAAGGAGAAGAAGCATACAAGATAATAATTATTTACAAAAACAACAAAATGTTAGAAACATTTGAAAAATGAAGGTTCTGTGCCGAGCACAGTGGCTCACGCCTGTAATCCCAGCACTTTGGGAGGCCGAGGCAGGTAGATCACCTGAAGTCAGGAGTTTGAGACCAGCTTGGCCAACATGGTGAAACCCGGTCTCTACAAAAAATACAAAAATTAGCCAGCCATGGTGGAGAGCGCCTGTAATCCCAGCTACTTGGGAGACTGAGACTGGAGAATTACTTGAACCCGGGAGGCAGAGGTTGCAGTGAGCTGAGACCACACCATTGCACTCCTGCCTGGGCAACAAGAAAGAAACTCCATCTCAAAAAAAAAAAAAAAAAGAAAAGAAAAGAAAAGAAATAAAAGAAAAAAATGAAGAAAGAAAAAGGTTCTTGTGAGAGTGTGTGTGTGTGTGTGTGTGTGTGTGTGTGTGTCTGTGTCTGTGTCATAAGTTGGGGAAAGGGTTCCTGGTTGCATCCTAGGGTGAAACACATCTGAGGGCAGCAGTAAGAGTAGTATTGAGTGAAGAGAAGTTTTGAAGATTGGCTCTGGCCACTTCCTCATACGATCATTATCTTTTAATAATAAATACATGACTCTTACACCTGACTGATAAAAACTATACTTGAGTTCCCCATCTACAAATTTATATTCTTCCTTTCATCTTTGGGATATTATAATGCAAACTGAAGGTGGCTGTTTTCTTTCAAGGCTTCATATTTCTAAGAATTCAATGATGACTACTTGAAGAGAGAAATTGTCTGCTGGAGTAAAAGCAAAGGGATAGGATTCTTACTAGATCTTCTGAGAGTTAGGGATCCTCATCCCAAGGCTGATTGCCTCCTCCCTCCAAATCACTGGAAAGGCAAAATTTGTTCCTAGCCTTCTCCCTCCTTAATCTATTTAATGTGTTAGTGTAAATAATCTGGTGGTGTGAAGGAACCCATTTGTACCCATTTCTCATACTTGACTACGCCACTCTTCCCAGCTCTGAATAGAGTGATGATGATTGCCTGACATCTGTCGTCGAGGGGTATTTAAGCCCGCAGAAATTAGAAAATACCTCAAATCATACTTTTTTAAAAAAGATTGCTAGCTTAACAGAATACTACTTCTGATAATAAACTCAGTTGAAAATCATAATAAGCTGGGAAATGCAAATGCAAATAAGAAAAACAACATATTAAATTTATAACAATGTAAACAAAATTAACGGAACTGATGGAACAATTGTTAATTGGCATAAATATATTTAAAGAAATAAGAAATGTGTGGGCAATATATTACATATAAAAACAGAATCTTCTAGATCAAGACAGCTAACTGGATGTGTTCAGGTCTTGCCTCCTCCACAAAGAAGAACCAAGACAGCAAGTAGATAACCATATGAAAAATAAAGCATCTAGGGGAGAATGCTGGGATCCACCAAGGAAGCAATAGGGACAATGTGAGGCACAGAAGCAGGAGATAGCGGCATACACAGGGAATCAAGACAACTGGCTGGATTGGCTTGGAGCCAGGAGGGACTTACATTATAGAGAAAATGTAAGCCAGAGATCCTCAGCAGTTCATATTCCCGCCACAGACACCGGCAGTCCTAGTTACAGAAAAGGCCCTCGACCCTCAGAGGCCCTAAGCTTAGTATAGTGAGCTGACCAGAGCACACGGGACTACATTGTTCCAGAGAGGAAATTCATGCTGAATGTTAGCCACAAAAGCCAAGCTATTCGAGCATGACACCATTTTTAGTGCAGTGCCAAACTGTATTTCAATTTTCCCTGTGGTCCAATAGTTTCCGTGTCTCTATATTCCTGGGGCCTCACTAACATCCCCCACATCCACCCAAAGGGTTGCAGAGTCACAGTGCTGGCTGGACCCAGTAATGTGGCCAGCCAGGTTTATAACACTTGAGGCCACGCAGCACCCTGTACACCAGGAAACAGGTGGTCTAGCAGATGAAGGAGCCTGCCGCCAGGACAAAGGAAACCAACGCATGCATTCTCCCAAGTCTGAGAATAAACTGCCTGATGCTGCTGCCACTGGCAACAGCCCCACCCCCACCCAGCAGAGGAACCACCACACACCTATGTGCCCTGTCTAGGGGCTCAGAGCTGGCCCAAACTGAGCTAGGACTCAACTGAGCTGTGCAGGAACAGTGATGGTCATCAGCTCCGGGAATTCAGAACCTTTGGCGGAGCATTTTTTTCACCTTCTCTACCTCCACAACCTCCTGGATAAACAGGATAAAAAATTGGGCTTCCTTACAGAAGGTTTTTCTCTAGAGACTGTGGAAAGAGTAAAATCTTGCCTATTGTCTGTGATAAAATGTCTACAAAAACAAAAAGCATGGAATTGATGCCAACAGCCTTAAAATCATGAGTAGGATGATAGTAGAGTAGGGAAATAGTAGAATTAGGAGAGAATATCTATCTTTGCTGACTTTTCTTGAAAAACTAACCAAATATAAAATGGGCTATAGGAAAAATTGCTAAAATGGATTTAAGGTAGAGTGTTGAACATGCTGCAAAAGTTTTAAACAGTGACTAATTCTACTACAAAATACGTGTACTAAATATATTTCCTTGTAATCAAGTGTCCTGAAGACTCTGTAAAGTCTGTGAATGTGTTGAAAGATAATTAGTTTAAAATTTTTATTTACACTTTTTATTTTTCATACTATATTTAATTTTTGTGGGTACAATGCAGGTATATATATATTTATGGGGTGCATGAAATGTTTTGATACTGGCATGCAATGTGAAATAAGTACATCATGAAACATCGGGTATCTATTGCCTCGAGCATTTGTTCATTGAGTTACAAACAATACAATTATTCTCTTTAAGTTATTTTAAAGTGTACCGTTATTATTTACTATTATTGACTACTATCACATTACTGTGCTATCAAAGAGTAGGTCTTATTCATTCTTTCTATTTTTTTGTACCCATTAACCATCCCCACCTCCCCTCCAGCCATCTTTCCCCACCTCTGGTAACCTTCCTTTTCTTTCTATGTCCATGAGCTCAATTGTTTTGATTTTCACATCCCACAAATAAGTGAGAACATGTGATGTTTGTCTTTCTGTACTTGGTTTTCTTCACTTAACATAATGATCTCCAGTTCCATCTATGTTGTTGAAAATTACTGAATCTCATTATTTTTAATGTCGGAACAGTATTCAATTGTGTATAAGTACCAAATTTTTTAAAATTTATCTGTTGATGGACACTAAGTTTGCTTCCAGATATTAGCTATTGTAAACAGCTGCAACAAACATGGGATTACAGATACCTCTTCAATATATTAATTTCCTTTTTTTGGATAAATATCCAGCAGTGAGATTGCTGGATCATGTGGTAGCTCAATTTGCAGTTTTTTGAGAAACCTCCAAACTGTTCTACATAATGGTTGTACGTATTTACATTTCCACCAACAGTGTATGAGATTTCCCCTTTCTCCACATTTTTACCAGCATTTGTTATTGCCTGTCTTTTAGATATAAGTCATCGTAACTGGGGTGAGACAATATCATTCATCAAAGATACTGGCCTGTAGTTTTCTTTCTTTTTTGATATGTCTTTTTCTGGTTTTGGTATCAGGGTAATTTTGGCCTCATAGAATGAGTTTGGAAGTATTCCCTCCTCTTCTATTTTTCAGAATAGTTTCAGTAGGATTGGCATTAGTTTTTCTTTAAATGTTTGGTAGAGTTCAGTGGTGAAACCATCAAGTTCTGGGCTTGTCTTTACTGGCACATGTTTTATTACAGCTTCAACAGGTTGCTTGCTATTGGCCTGTTCAGGTTTTAGATTTCTTCCTGGTTCAATCTTGGTAGTTGTATGTATCTAGGAATTTGTCCATTTCTTCAAGATTTTCCAATTTATTCACATAGAGTTGCTCATAGTAGCCACTAATGTTCCTTTGAATTTCTGTAGTATTAGTCGTAATGTCTCCTTTTTCATTTCTGATTTTATTTATTTGGATCTTCTATTTGTTTTTTCATAGTTAGTTTGCTAAAGGTTTGTCAGCTTTGTTTAAGTTTTCAACCCACTTTTTGTTTAATGGATCTTTTGTATGTTTTTATTGAAATTTTATTTATTTCTGCTATAATCTTTATTATGGCTTTTCTTCTATTAATTTGATTTTTTGTTAGCTCTTGCTTTTCTAGTTCTTTAAGATGCATTGTTGGATTGCTTATTTGAAGTTTGTCTTCAGTTTCGAAGCCATTTATAGCCATAAACTTCCCTTTGGGTACTGCATTTGCTGTATCCCATAGGTTTTGGTATGTCATATTTCCATTATCATTTCTTTCAAGATATTTTTCAACTTCCTTCTTAATTTCCTCGTTGATCTACTGGTCATTCAGGAGCATATTGTTTGGTTTCCATGTATTTGTATAGTTTCCAAAACTCCTCTTCTTATTAATTTTTAGTTTTATTCCATTGTAGTTCATGAAAATGCTTGATATTATTTTAAATTTTTGAATGTTTATGATACTTGTTTTGTGACCTAACATATGGTCTAGCCTTGAGAATGATCCATGTGCTGAGAAAAAGAATGTGTATTTTGCAGCCCTTGCATGAAATGTTCTGTAAGTATATATTAGATCCATTTGGTCTATTGTGCAGATTACATGTGATGTTTGTTGATTTTCTGTCTGGAAGGCCTGTCCAATGCTAAAAATGGGGTATTGAAGTCTCCAGCTATTATTGTATTGAGTCCTTTCTATCTCTTTAGCTCTAACAATATTTTATTTCTATATCTGGATGCTCCAGTGTTGGGTGCATATATATTTAAAATAGTCATATTCTCTTTCTGAATTGACCCATTTTTCATTATAGAGTGACCTTCTTTGTCTCTTCTCATAGTTTCATCCTGAAATCAATTCTGTGTAAGCATACTGATGCCTGTTTGTTTTTGGTTTCCATTGGCATGTAATACCTTTTTCCATACCTTAATTTTTATTCTATGTGTCTTTACAGGTGATGTGTTTCTTGTAGGCAACATATCAATAGTTCTCATTTTTTCATCCATTCAGCTAGTTTATGTGTTTTGATTAGAAAGTTTAGTACATTTCATTTAATGCTATCATTGATAAGTAAGGACTAACTCCTGCCATGTTTTTATTTGTTTTCTGGTTGTTTTGTGATCTTTTTATTTCTTTTTTTTTATTCCTATCTTCCTCTACTGAAGGTGATTTTTTTTCTGGTGATATGATTTAGTTTCTTGCTTTCTATTTTATTTTTTATTGAGACAGAGTCTCACTCTGTTGCTCAGGCTAGAGTTCATTAGTGTGATCTCAGCTCACTGCAACCTTCACCTCCCGGGTTCAAGTGATTCTCATGCCTCAGCCTCCTGAGTAGCTGGGATTATAGGTGTGTGCCACCACACCTGGCTAATTTTTATATTTTTAGTAAAGACAGGGATTCACCATGTTGTCCAGGCTGGTCTTAAACTCCTGAGCTCAGGTAATCCACCCATCTCCCAAAGTGCTAGGATTACAGTGTGAGCCACAGTGCCCAGCCTTGCTTTTTATTTTTTCTGTTTCCATTGTATGTTTTTTTTTTAAATTTTGTTTTGAGATTATCATGAGATGAGGCTTGCAAATGCAATCTTATAACCAGTTATTTTAACTTGATAACATTTTTAACACTATTTGTATAAACAAAAAAGCAAAAAGATAACCAAGAAAAACTTGCTTTAACTTTGTCCCCCAACTTTTTAAACTTTTGTTGTTTCTATTTATCTCTTACTCTAATGACTATGTCTTGAAATGTTGTTATACTTATTACTTTGGATTAGTTCATCATTCAATCTTTCTATTTAGGATAAAACTTGTTTACAGACCACAGTACCAATGTCATAATGTTCTGTGATTTTCTGTGTACTTACTATTACCATTGAATTTTGTACCTTCAGGTGATTATTTATTTCTTGTTAATTTCTATTTCTTTCAGGTTGAAGTACTTACTCTCTTTAGCATTTCTTGTAGGGTGTGTCTGGTATTGATGAAATCCTCAGCTTTTGTTTGTCTGGGACATTTCTCCTTCATGTTAGAAGAACATTTTTGCCAGATATACCGTTCTAGAATAAAAGATGTTTTTTTCTTCCGCTCTTTAAACATTTCATGCCACTCTCTCCCGTCATAAGATTTCCACTGAAAAGTCTACTGCCGGATCAATTAGAGCTCCATTGTATGTTATTTGTTTCTTTTCTCTTGCTGCTTTTAGGATCCCTTCTTCATCCTTGACCTTTGGGAGTTTGATTATTAAATGCCTTGATGTAGTCTTCTTTGGGTTAAATCTGCTTGGTGTTCTGTAACCTTCTTGTACTTGGATATTAATATCTTTCTCTAGGTTTGGGAAGTTCTCTTATTATTGTTTTGAATAAACTTTCTATCCCTGTGTCTTTCTCTACCTCCTCTTTAAGGCCAGTAACTCTTAGATTTTCTCTTTTGAGGCTATTTTTTTAGATCCTGTAGTCATGCTTCATAGTTTTCTTATTCTTTTTTCTTTTGTATCCTCTGACTGTGTATTTTCAAATAGCCTATCTTCAGGCTCACTAATTCTTTCTTCTGCTTGATCCATTTTGCTATTAAAGGACTCTTATGCATTCTACAGTATGCCAATTGCATTCATTAACTCCAGAATTTCTGCTGCATTATTTTCAATGTTTTTAATCTCTTTGTTAACCTTAGCTGATAGAATTCTGCCTTTCTTGTCTCTTATCTTGAATTTCTTTGAGTTTCCTCAACACAGGTATTTTGAATTCTCTGTCTGAAAGATGACATATTTCTGTTTATCCAGGAGATTTCCAGGATCTCTGTTTCTCCCTGGTGCCTTATTCGTGCATTTGGTGTGTTTGTTTTTTCCTGGATGGCGTTGAAGCCAGCAGATGTTCTTCCATGTGTGGGCATTGAATAGTTAGATATTTATTGTAGTGTTCACTATCTGGGCTTATTTTTTATCCACCCTTATTGGGAAGGTTTTCCAGATATTTTCAAGGACTTGAGTTTTGTGATCTAAGCTATTTCTGCTTTAAAGAGCACCCCAAACCCAATAATGTTGTTGTTCTTGCAAACTCAGAGATGCACCACCTTGATGGCCTTGAAGAGTATCCAGGAAAGTTCTCTGAATTACCAGGCAGAGACTCTTTTTCTCTTCCTTTACATTATGTCGAACATATAGAGTCTCTCTCTCTCTCTCTCTCTCTCTCTTTCTGTTCTGAGCCACCTAAAGCTGGGGGTGGAGTGACACAAGCACCCCTGTGGCCACCACCTCTATGACTGACTGGATTAGACCTGAAGCCAGCACAGCACTGGGTCTCACAGAAGGCCTGATGTACCCACTCCCTGGCTACTGCCTACGTTCACTCAAGGCCCTGGGGCTCTATAATTAACAAGTGGCAAAGCCAGATAGACTTGTGTCTTCCCTTCATGGGGGGCGAGGTCCCCCAAGCCCCAGATGAGTCCAGAAGTGTCATCTGGGAATCACGGATTACAGTCAAAGATCTTAGAAGACTACTTGGTATTCTATTGTATTGTGGCTGAGTGGGCACTCAAACCACAAGACTCAGACCTTCCCACTCTTTCCCTACCCCTCCTTTTGCCAACGGCAGAGGAGCCTCCTCCTGTAGCCACTGCCACCCCAGGCCACAAGGAATACTGTCAGACTACCAACCATGTTCCCTTAAGGCCCAAGGTCTCTTAAGTTGGCTTGTGGTGAATGCTGCCTGGCCTGAGACTCACCCTTCAGGGCAGTGGGCTCCCCTCTGACCCAGGCAGGGCATGTCCAGAAATGCCATCTGAGAGTCAAATCCTGGAATCAGGGACCCAAGAGCCCATTTGGTGTTCTACCCCACTGTGGCAGTATTGTTAACTAAGGTGCAAGACAAAAATCCCCTTTACTTTTCCCCCTGATTTTCTCAAGCAGAAGGAGTTTTGCCCCATAGCCACCATTGCTGCTAATATGCTGAGTCTCACCTGAAAAGTCATCAAGTCTCAGAGACTCTCCCAAGGCCCTTAATGTAGTACCTAGGTATCACTACCGGTTATTCAGGGCCCAGGGCTCTTTAGTTGGTGAATGATGAATGCCGGCAGGACTGTTTTTTTCCTTTAAGGCAGCATCCTCTCTTCTGGCCCAGGGTGTGTCTAGAAGTGTCATCTGAGAGCTAGGGGCTAGAGTGGAGCCTCATTACTCTGACTGTTGCCCTATCCTGCTGTGGATGAGCTAGTATCCAAGATGCAAGACAAAGTCCTCCCCACTCTTCCCTCTCCTCTTCTCAAGTGGAAGAATAAGATCTCTCTTGGATCTGTGAGCTGTGCAGCCTGTTGTTACAGGTGGAGTGATACTGCTAGAATTAGTGATTCGTTTTTGGCTAGGGCTGGTTTAAATGCTCCCTCTGTGTGAGAGCATCAGCTAAGTTTGATCTGGTTTTCCTTCCTGTTCTAATAGCACAGCACTGAGTTCAATGCCTCATAAAGGGTGGGTTCTCTCTCCCCCAGTGCCCAGATATTCTGAGCACCTTGCTGCTGCTGCCTGGGGTGGGCATAAGTTTCATGATCAATTCATATAAAATACGGTCTTTGGTAGCCTATTGTCCATCCTATTTCTGTATTCCTGAACTCCTAGTAATGTCTGAAAGAAAGATTTCTGAAAACTCACTGGTCACAAAATTGTTGAAATAGAATTTTAATAGCACTTGCCATAAATCAAACTAAATGTTACTAAATTATAGGAAAGTTGAAATTTTGTATTTAAACCTGAGTGTAGGGATGCCTTTTTTCCCCTGCTTAAGTTACTGAAACCCGTGAGTATCTTCAATTTTCTTCTACACTGGCTTGCATTTTGTACTCCTGTCCTTTTACATTCTCCTGAGACCTGGTAATCTGAATCAACTTCGCATCTGACGAAATAAGAAAAAATTCCTCTGGCCCACTCTGAGTTGTATCCTTAGCCCTGTAAGTTACTGGAAAAACAAAAACAAACAAATAAAATCAAGTAATAGCAGATGACTTATTGCATTAAATAATTTCCTTTTTTATTTGATGTCCTTTTTTTCTCACTTCTCTATTTAATGGACAAATAATGACTCCCACTTTAGTGATAGGCTTATTTGCACTTTAGGCTAATAACGAATGACAATATAGCATGGATAAAAGTAGTTCCTAAATTAATTAGATATTTTATTTGGGATAAAACCAGAGGCCAATTAACATATCAAGTCTGTGGTTTTGTAATGAATAAAAGTCTAATTTTACTATATTTAAAAATAATAACAAGGTAATTATAAAGACATTGCAGTGCTTTGTTCCCTTTTCTGATATTTTTGGTATATGAAACAAGAGAGACTAAGTAAATGTGGTTTCAATTCAAGATCATGTCACTTTGATGTATATGTTTTTCACAGTTACTGCAATCAAGTGTATTTACTTTTCACTTACGTTTAGAAATGAATAATATATTGCTAAGCATGCATTTCAATGTAGTTTTAAAGATCACATTTTAGTCATGTGAAATTTGATCTCATTTCTCTTTTTTCTCTCTGTAGCAAAATTATGATTTTCTAAGGATCAATGTTTAGGAACTGACCCTACTGCTATCTAACTCTACCTCCTAAACAAGGATTTCAAAATAGCTTCTTTTTCAACTTATAAAATATAAAAATAGTTTCTTATCCTATCTCAGAAAATCTACCCCTTTTTAAAAAGTGAACTACTATTGAAATATGGCGTACATACAAAAAAGTACACAAATCACAATGTTCAGTTCAATAGATTGTCTCAAAGTTAATATGCTGTGGAACCACAAGATTGATAAGAAATAGAAAATTAATGTACCCACATGTCCCTTTTTGTGCATTTCCAGTCATTATCACCCTTCCCAAAAGCACTCAGTATTATGACTTTTATTACCATTGTATAGATTTGCCAGTTTTCATGATTTATCTGTCTGTCTGCTTTCATTTAAAGTTATGGTTGGGAGATTCACTCATACCATTGATTTAGAAAACGTTCACTCATTTTCACTAATGTGCATAATTCCATCGCCTTGTGTATTACTCTGTTTTCACAATGCGGATAAAGACATACTTGAGACTGGGAAATTTACAAAAGAAAGAGTTTTAATGGATTTACAGTTCCACATGGCTGAGGAAACCTCACAATCATGGTGGAAGGAAAGGAGGAGCAAGTCACGACTTACATGAATGGCAGCAGGCAAAGAGAGAGAGCTTGTGCAAGGGAAGCTCTCTCTCTTTTTAAAACCATCAGATCTTGTAAGACTTATTCACTATCATGAGAATATCATGAGAAAGACCCACCCCCATCATTCAATTACCTCCTACTGAGTCCCTCCCATGACACGTGGGAATTGTGGGAGTTCCAATTCAAGATGAGATTTGGGTGGGGACACAGCCAAACCATATCACTTTAGTATAATTATAGTGTTATCACTTTACTTGATATGGTCACACTTTTTATTTTTCTCATTGTGATTAGTGTGTTACTTTTTTTCATCCTAGTTACTAAGTTGTATTGAATAATAAATATAAATTTACAAAAACAAAGTCTCGGTACTATGACTTGAATATGATCCAGGTAGATGTCATTAATCAAACATTTACTATGTTCTTAAAATAAACCAGACAGTATTCTAGGCTCTAGGCATTAAAATGTTGAATTGGACTAATATTCTTAGAACCAAAATTATGAGGAAGAGAGACAAATAACATATAAGTAAATAACAAAATATCTAATAGAGACAATATTATGAATAACACAAAGCATTTTTATCAGTGAGTTAGGGAGAGTATTAAACATAAGATGCAATTTATTTTAGGCAAAACATATTTTGGTAAATAAAAGTTTATAAAAAAGTTTAATAAAAAGTTTGTAAAGTTAAACATCACTCCTAATACATCCATTAATTGCAACAGAAAAAATATCGGAAATTTATCATTTTGAGACTGAAGTCTCTGAATTTTCTTTTGACCTTTGGGGGCACTCAGACTTAGAAAAATTCAGATGTATTCTATAAGATTTAATTGAATTTTGGACTAGAATTTAAAATATTAACTAAAATGTATGCGTATTTTTGTATTTATAATTGTTCACTTACATTAGGTTATTCCTTGGATACAAATAAATTTTTACCCTCCAAAATTATGAGCCAATTTATTTTTAGTGTTTTTGCTTAAAATCTAGATGTTTTAAATAAATGTTTTCAATGATCAACATGCCAATGGCTCACCATTAAGTATACATACACACATATATGTGTGTACGTGTATATGTGAAATTTCTATTGAGTTAACCTTATAATAATTTCTAAGTCTTTATAGTAATGTTTTGTTTATAGGCATAATTTTCAGATTTTATTTTTTTATTTTTATTTTTTAACTTTCTGAGTGGAGATTTTATTTAATTGTTGGTTTAAAATGCAATAAGAATTTATACTTTTTTAAACTTTTATGTTAAGTTCAGGGATACATGTGCAGGTTTGTTGTATAGGTAAACTTGTGTCATGGGGTGTTGTTGTTACACAAATTATTTCATCACCTAGGTATTAAACCTAGTACTCTTAGTTATTTTCCCTCATCCTCTCCCTCCTCCCACCCTCCACCCTCTGACAGGCCCCAGTCTGTGTTTGTCCCTTCTATGCGGCTATGTGTTCTCATTATTTACCTCCCACTTATAAGTGAGGACATGTGGTATTTGGTGTACTGTTTCTGTGTTAATTTGCTAATAATGATGGCTTCCAGTTCCAACCGTGTCCCTGCAAAGGACATTATCTTATTCTTTTTTATGACTGTATAGTGTTCAATGGTGTATATATACTGCATTTTCTTTATTCAATCTATCATTGATGGACATTTAGGTTGATTCCATGTTTTTGTTATTGTGAATAATGCTGCAATGAACATACATGCGCATGTGTCTTTATGGCAGAAAAATTTATATTCCTTTGGGTATATACCCAGTAATGGGATTGCTAGGTTGAATGGTATTTCTGTCTTTAGGTCTTTGAGGAATCACCACACTGTCATCCACAAAAGTTGAACTAAATTACACTTCTATCAACAGTGTATAAGCTTTCCTTTTTCACTGCGTGTTCACCAGCATCAGTTATTTTTTGACTTTTTAACAACAGCCATTTTGACTGGTGTTAGATAGTGTCTCATCGTGGTTTTGATTTGCATTTCTCTAATGACCAGTGATGTTGAGCTTTTTTTTCATATGATTGTTGGCTGCATGTATATCTTCTTTTGAAAAGTGTCTGGTCATGTTCATGTCCTTTGCCCGCTTTTTCAATGGGGTTGATTGTTTTTTCTTGAAAATTTAAGTTCCTCATGAATGATGGATATTAGACCTTTGTCAAATGCATAGGTTGCAAAAATTTTCTCCCATTCTGTAGGTGGTCTGTTTACTCTGATGATAGTTTCCTTTGCTGTGCAGAAGCTATTTTGCTTAATTAAATTCCATTTGTCCATTTTTGCTTTTGTTGCAATTGCTTTTGGTATCTCCATCATGAAATCTTTGCCCATACCCATATCCTGAATGGTATTGCCTAGGTTGTCTTCCAGGGTTCTTATATGCTGGGGTGATACATTTAAATCATTAATACCTCTTCAGTTCTTTTTTGTATATGGTGTAAGGAAGGGGTCCAGTTTTAATCTTCTGCATATGGCTAGCTAGTTATTCCAGCACCATTTAATGAATAGGGAATCCTTTCCCCATTGTTTGTTTTTGTCAGGTTTGTCAAAGGTCAGATAGTTGTAAGTGTGTGGTCTTATTAATGGATTCTCCATTCCTTTCCATTGGTCTATATGTCTGTTTTTGTACCAGTACCATACTGTTTTGGTTACTGTAGTCCTGTGGTATAATTTGAAGTCAGGTAGCATGATGCCTCCAGCTTTGTTCTTTTTGCTTGGGATTGCTTGGCTATTTGGGCTATTTTTTTTTTGCCCCATATCAATTTTATAATAGCTTTTACTAGTTCTGTGAAGAATATAAATGGCAGCTTAATAGGAATAGTATTGGATCTATAAATTGCTTTGGGCAGTATGGCCATTTTAAGGATATTGATTCTTCCTATCTAAGAACATGAAATGTTTTTTCTTTCAGTTCTGTCATCTCTGATTTCTCTGATCAATGGCTTGTAGTCCTTCTTGTCTCTACAAGAAGACAAGGAAAGGGAGATCTTTTACCTCTGTAGTTAGCTGTATTCCTATGTATTTTATTCTTTTTGTGGCAATTGTGAATGAGACTTCCTTCCTGATTTGGCTCTTGGCTTGACTGTTGTTGTTGCTGTATAGGAATGTTAGTAATTTTTGCAAATTGATTTTGCATCCTGAGACTTTGCTGAAACTGTTTATCAGCTTAAGAAGCTTTGGGGCTGAAACTATGGGATTTTCTAGATATAGGATCATGTCATCTGCAAACAGGGATAATTTGACTTCCCTTCTTACTATTTGAATGTCCTTTACTTCTTTCTCTTTTCTGATTGCCCTGGCCAGAACTTCCAATACTATGTTGAATAGTAGTAGTGAGAAAGGGCATCCTTGTCTTTTGCCAGTTTTCAAAGGGAATGCTTCCAGTTTTTACCCATTCAGTATGATGTTGGCTGTGGGTTTGTCATAGATGGCTCTTATTATTTTGAGGTATGTTCCTTCAATACCGAGTTTATTGACAGTTTTTTTTAACATGAATGGATTTTGAATTTTATTGAAGGCCTTTATGCACCTATTGAGATAATTATGTCATTTTGTCGTTAGTTCTGTTTATGTGATGAATCAAATTTATTGATTTGTGTTTGTCGAGTCAGCTTCACATACCAGTGATGATCATGGTCTAGATTTTCTAGTTTATGTGCATAGAGGTGTTTATAATATCCTCTGATGTTTGTTTGTATTTCTATGGGGTCAGTGGTAATATCCCCCTTGTCATTTATGATAGTTTTTATTTGAATGTTCTCTTTTCTTATTAGTCTAGCTGGCAGTCTATCTATTTTATTAATTTTTTCAAAAAACCAGTTCCTGGATTCATTGATCTTTTGGATTGTTTTTGTGTTTCCATTTCCTTCAGTTCAGCTCTGATTTCTGTTATTTCTTGTCTTCTGCTAACTTTAGGATTTGTTTGCTCTTGGTTCTCCAGTTCTTTTAGTTGCGATGTTATGTGGTTAATTTGAGATCTTTCTAAACTTTTGGATGTGAGCATTTGGTGCTATCAATTTCTCTGTTAATGCTGCCTTAGCTGTGTCCCAGAGATTCTGGTACATTTTATCTTTGTTCTCATTAGTTTCAAAGAACTTTTTAATTTCTGCCTTCATTTCATTATTTACCCGAAAGTCATTCAGGAGCAGGCTATTCGATTTCCATGTAATTGTATGGTTTTGAGTGAATTCCTTTGTCTTGATTTTGAATTTGATTGCACTGTGACTTGAGAGACTGCTTTGATTTCAGTTCTTTTGCATTTGCTGAGGAGGGTTTTATTTCTGATCATGTGATATTTTAGAGTCTGTGCCATGTTGCTATGAGAAGAATGTATATTCTGTTGTGTCAGGGTGGAGAGGTCTGTAGATCTCTATCAGATCTGTTTGATCTAGTGCTGAGTTCAGGTGCTGAATATCTTTGTTAATTTTCTGTCTCAGTGGTCTGCCTAATATTGTCAGTGGGGTGATAAATCTCTCACTATTTTTGTGTGGCACTCTATGTCTCTTTGAAGTTCTCTAAGAACTTGCTTTTTGAATCTGGGTGCTCCTGTGTAGGATGCACATATATATTTAGGATAGATAGATAGATTTTGTTGAATTGCACCCTTTATTAATATGTAATGTCTTTTTTTATTTTTGTTTGTTTAAAGTCTGTTTTTTCAGAAACTAAGATTGCAAGCTCTGCTTATTTCTACTTTCCATTTGCTTGGTAGATTTTTCTCCATCCCTTTATTTTAAATATCTTATACTCTTTGTTAATTTATCTGACATTTCCACCACCTTTACTTTACATTCTAATATACAATGAACAAATGCAAAATAAGATAAAAATGTATATTTTAATAACTAATATATGTTAATAACTAATTGAGGCTCTATTGTATATATATTTTATAACACAATTTGTCTTCCCTTTATTGCCCAGTTTTGGTAATAATAAAAACATACAGATAATTAAAAATGTAGCCTTACCTTCATATTACAAGTAATATTCATCATATTTATTATATCTATGAATTTCATTAGCTGTCTGAGAATTCCCTGAGCTTGCTGACTATTCTGGAATCATAGCTTTGAAAAGAACCTCAAGGGGCTGTATGAGTTAATGAGATTTGGAACTCTTCTTTCAAATTGTTTTATATGTAGTTCTAATGCACCTCAAAATACACTTGTATATTAATTTTTATATACAATAACGTGTAATTTGCATTTTTCAATATATAGTTTAGTGACATCATCTAATAAACTGGCTGATACTCAAAGTGGTTTATATATTTTTGTTTAATTTGATTGGTTATTGCCATTTTTGCTCTAATTTCCAAAATTTTGGATGTTTGTAGTTTTTCCAATTTTTAACTTTTAAATTTGGTTTTAAATTAATAAATTCATATGGTAGTTTTTTGTTCGTCTGTTTGTTTTTACATGTGGGCAATTGTAACTAAATTAACTGAGCTTCTATTATGTGCTCAACATTGATTTCAATGCAGAAAAAAGAAATAAACAAAAAGGGGAGAAAACACTAGCCCTCAATTCAAATTTGCGTCAAGTGTGGGTTTGTTTGTGGATTTGGAGGTGAAGAGGATTAAAGCAGTCGGATAAAATGATTGAAATAGTGGGAAACAAAGACAATAAACCCACTAACAAACACACAATAAAATAAGTCTGCTAATGATAATAGATGCTAAAATAGGATTATGCATTAGGAAGTCACGGGCATATTATCAGATACTAAGTTACTATGTCAGTTTTAAATATTATTACAACTCATGCTACATAATGCAGATTCATTAATTTCCAAAAGTGTTAAATCTATGTCACAGCAATGCAGTGTGATGCTCCATTTCACCAGTATCAATAGCAATAAGAAATAATTATTTTTATTTTGGTATGCTCCTGCTTCTGCTTCTTCCTTTCAATTTGTACAAATTCTGTACATATGACCTCATGGTTTTTCATGTATTAGTGGATACATTATTCATTTTCTTTTTGATGCACTCTTCCAGTATTTATAATTTTCTCCTTGCTATAAAACTTCCACACACAAGATGTTTAATAGAATTGTGTTCTTTTTTATTCTAGTTTTCTTATAGTTTGCAGTGTTGACACATTTAGGAATTAAAACCGTTAGATACTCCTTAACAAGAAGCAAAGTCAGGTTAAGATGCACTGTTTTAAAACTTGGTAGAGGAAATGGTTTCCTGGACACTCTCAGGGTCTCACCAGTGAGAGCAACATAAACGATAATAAGACTTGGGAAATGCTGACATTGTTCTTTCCTTGATTAAAGATATTCTTCTGTCTTTCATTTATTTAATGTACATGATTTTCTTTTATTGAATGTCTACAATTTCTAATTAGCAGCCTGTCTTTTTCTTGAAATTCTGAAAAGTAGTTTTAGAAATGATACCTCAAACCATAATGTATTAAAAGAGCCAAATCTCTCTAAACTTAAAATGTGTACAGATAGTAAATATGAAGTTTAAGTGAAAGTGTTATTTGATTACTCATTAGGTGGACGGGCTTATAGGCAAGTGTGAGTTAAGATGAAGAGAGAAGCAAGATAAAGAACTTAGGGCAGCAAAGAGGTAATCCAAGCTAGGAAACAAATGTGTAGAATATAAAGTGCAAGCTTTAGAGGGGAAGCAAAAAATCTCCCTACGATTCTCTCCAATCTACTTCATTTAAAAATAAGTGAGATTTGGAGCTCAGGAGTTTGAGACCAGTCTGACCAACATGGTGAAACCCCGTCTCTACTAAAAATACAAGAATTATCTGGGCGTGGTGGTGGGTGCCTGTAATCCCAGCTACACAGGAGGCTGAGGCAGGAGAATCACTTGAACCTGGGAGTCAGAGGGTGCAGTGAGCCGAGATCAGACCATTGCACTCCAGCCTGTATGACAGAGACTCTGTCTCAAAAAAAAAAAAAACAAAGTGAGATATTTCACAAAACTTTTTTAAAAAAGGAAAACAGTAACAACAAAACATTTAGCAAAGTCATAAAGATAATTTCAAATACTTATAAATACAGAGAACAATTACTATAGGCCAGACACAGTGGCCTGCACCTGTAATCCCAGAGACCAGGCGAGAGGATTGCTTGAGTTCCAAATCAACCTGGGTGACAAAGTGAGACCTTGCCTCTACCAAAAAAAAAAAATTATATCTATCTATCTATCTATCTATGAGGTATGAGGAATGTGAAGAAAACATAAAGAAATAGTGGAAGAGGGGAGTCAGCAAAGGGGAAAATACTGAAAGAAAATTATCACTGTTTGAAAATGATTGAGACATTTGATTTCTATAAGTCTTCCTGGGCAGATAAATCACATGTTCCAGCAAGATTTGTTCAAAGGCTAAAGTGACTTTAGGCTGTATTAGCATAAACCTAAATTATAGCAGTCCCATTGAAACTCTGCACTATCAGACTCTTGGAATGTTAGTGCTCAGCTCTACATGCCACCTTTTAATATTACCTAGGTAAAAATGAATATGAACAGAGTGTTTCCCAGACAGGGTAGGATCTAGATTAAATGATATCTGAAGAACAGTTAAAAAAGAGATATTTAGTCTAAAAAATACTTAAAGGAAACACAAATTTTTCCCAAATCCAAAATGTCTACTCTTCCAATGAAGAAAACCTCATTATTATTATTATTTCTAAAGACAGACTTTAAAAGAATATGTGACTTTGAATAAATAAAAGGAATCTCTTAAATCCTCAGCGAGACTGATACAAGTAATCCCAGAAAGTCACAATGATTAACATTTATAGAGCCTTCAAAGGTTTTTGGAAAATATCTTAGATTATTTAAAATTCATGCAAAGAGAATCTATAGAGAAGATAGATAACTTTGGAAAGAATTGGCTAAAATTTTTAAAATAATAATGATGGTAGCAGAAATGTCCTCTTTTTAACAGAAAATGATTTTTAAATCTAAATGAGAATGATAGCCTGGAGAAATTTAAGTTCTGTCCTTTAGTAGGTTCAAATAGAAAAGCTAAACCTAAACATAAGCTGCATTTTCATTGTTAGTTCAGAGACACCAAATCAAGATAAGGTAACAAAAGCCCTGAAAGATATCGATTTAGTCCCTACAAGTTAATTTAAAGATAAGATGGATAGGAAAAAAAGAGCTTTAAAAAATAAAATAAAACAAAAAATTCTAGTTTGCCCTTTATTTGTACTTTCTGAATTTAGAACTGTAGAATATTAAAATATACATTTTATGTATATATGTAAAATATCAAAATTAGTGTGATTTATGGTTTAAGTTTTACACAAATAATATTAATTAAAACTTGCAATAGTTCATTTAATTCAACAAACTGACACACACTGGGCACACAGTATATGCAATTTTGTAGGCGCTTTGCTGAATGAGTTCACATTTTATGAGAGAGAACAAGTTTTTTGGCTTACAATTTTTTTAATGTTAATGTCAAAGTTTTATAAAAGGACTACGTGCTGTAGTTTTCAATAATTTTGGACAAAATGTTATCCTTACTTCACTCTTTTGGTCAATATTTGAAAGATAAAAATCCTGTGGAAATTTGTCCACTTATAAGCCTCTTTAGGTAAATGCAAAATTTATTGGACAAATCAACACTCATGTACATCAAGATAATATTGTTTCTCTAGTAACTGTAATTATATTCAATTGAGAAAATAAAGGTAGTTTAAGGTACCTTTCCTTCAGGGAAGAAGGAACTGTTACAAAGACTAAATCCTAGGGTACAGAAGTTTGAACAAACTGTTGAGTCTGAAAAAGTTGGGCACAACTTAAAAATAGACTTGGTATGTGATGTAAAGGTTAAAGCTTATTCTGTAATTGTTGGTTTGTCACTATGTGAATAAAGATAGAACAGTAACACAATCTATTTTGCTTAAAGTTCTTTCTGGTGTGTGAGATATTATACTTGAAGAAAATAGGACAAGAAAAATTGTGCCCCAGTTAGGAGATCTTTCTTTGATCTAATATAGAAATGTTTAAGTCTATAATAAAACAGGACAATAGAAATTATAAAATTAGATGCATTTTCAATACAGGTAGAGGCACCACTAAAAATAATTAAGGGGTAATGTATGAGAGCATTGCAAATAAAATTATCTGGGAAGCAAACTGTGAGACGGTTTAGTGTTCAGTGTGTTTATTAAAAACCACCCATGGTATAAATATCTTTAGAAAGGGAACAGAGGAAGCAGAAATGGGCAGTGGGATAAATCAATTTGTGATACAGTCCAAGCAGCTTCTACAGACCAAATAGGGAGTTTTTAGAATTGCTTAAATGCCTGGTTAGAGTTGCTCTGCACTTGGCTAAAGAGGCAAGTCTGTATACACCCATGCAATTTGTCACTGGTTGTGGGCTACATCCCCAACACTATGACCTTGGCTGAGACAGCTCTCTGAAGCCAAAGCAAACTTCTAAGAAGGGGCCAACCCTGAAAACTGTCTATTGACAGTGTTCTTATCAGCTAGAAAACAAGTATGTCTTTGCAGAGAGATTTGGGAAGTTGAACATTCCCAAGTTCATCACAGTCAGTGTAAAGAAAGAGCATCCAAAGTTAATTCCAATGTTTACATTTTGGGAAAGGATTCTAGAGTGATTTAGCCAAAGAGGTTTGTAGAAAGAACAGCAGTGTGTTGGTGGAGAGGTGTGTCTGACCTAGATAATTCAGTTGCAAACTTATTGAATTTCACTGAATTTTTCTAGGTAAAGCTGTTAGAGTACAGTACTTAGAAGGACCTTGCCATGGGCCACATCTTTACAAATGGCAGTTAATTTTTTAAAATAAATCAGTATTCAGACCTGTATAAATATTAATATTTTCTTTGTGAGAAAATATTAATGGATGGAGTCAATAATGTCTTCCTTATTTAAAACAATACATCAGTTACCACAAACAATAACAGAATTTAATGTCTTTCATATATATGCTCATTTAAGAAATACAAAAGAATGAAATGTCCTGTATTAAGAAACCTAAACAAAATGAAATTACTCAAGGTGGTTTTTTTTTTCTATAAATAGCTTTGGTTTTCCATAGATAATTACAAAATCATCTTCAGGAGTTTCATGCAGAAAGTGACCACTTTTAATGCTTTTTCATGACATTTCATGAGATTTGGCATGATATCTTATAATAACTTCATTTTCCTCACATGAAAAAAAATGAGACTACTGCACAGTAGGAACGGGCAGTAAATCTCACAAGAACTCAGTAGCTTGGCATTTATTGCCCATCGCTTCCTTTTGATTTAGCAGGTCTGCCCTTCAGTATTTCTTTTCTCCAAATACTTGCCCAATTTTGTTTTTAAAACAATTTATATTGGTGGCACATTTCACAGCCTTTGGTAGTTTGTGGCATAAGTCATTGTGTCAGAATGATCCCACTCTAGTATATTTAGAGAAACTTCTGGACATCTTTGGTAAAACTCAATTATTTTAAGTGTTTATATCTCCAAGAAAGAAGGGCATGGTACCATCTAGTGATATTCCATGGAGGCAGTTTTTTTTTTTTTTTTTTTTTTAACTGTTGCTATATATTTCACTGTTGGTTTGAAAGAAATGGTGTCTGGAAGTGCACTTGTTGAAATATTTATTCTTTATTTTTTGAACTTGTTGAATAGTATGAATGCTAACCTTGAAATACATGCAGTAAAATATCCAATAATTTTGTATCACAGGTTTGATTTCCAAATTTATAATAGTTACCTGTCTTAAGTCTGCTATATATTGAACTAAAATTTAGGCATAGTTGTGAAGGTTGCTATATTCTGAGTGTACATATTTGTCTCTGTATCTCTAAATTTCCACTGAAGTTGTAATGTGTTTACTGTCAACAGATGACTAATGACTATTCAGCGTTTTTCATTAAATTCTACTGAAATTGTCTCAGTAATAGAAGTTGATTTTACTTAAACGCAATAGTCCTATTATTTCAAAATTTCAAATAAATTTTTATTAAAAGGTGGCAGTAGCCTCAAGATTTTATCACTAAAAAACACTCTTTACACTATTGGAAACGATTTCTAGATATATTCATCTCAACAAACTTTCTCTCTCATAGTTAAAATTATGTTCTATAATAATGTGCTCTTTTGTAAATATAAAACATGAAGATAAAATAAGAGCAAAATTAGTACCCTTTTTCTTTATTCATTAACTCTACCTCATCACAAAGCCTATCAGGTTTGTTTGTTTCTTAATGGTAAATATGAATTCCGGAATCACATAGAGCACAATTACTTTACATACATACATATCTATATATATTTATAAATTTTTGATATATTACTAAATAATTATCCTGGAAAATGTCCCAAAAGAGTCTGCCAATGACAATAGACCCACTTTAAGATGACTAAAGGAGTATAGGAGTCTGTATACTTAATCCGTTTGTTTTCATATGTAATTTTTACACCATTTGGTTTGATTGATTTGTAAACTGGAGAAAATAACAAAGATAGTAGAATGAAACCAAATATAATTAATTGTGTGATGCTGTCTCTTAGGACACACGATGTACCTAGTCTATTATGTGGAACTTGGTTAGCCCTAAACTAAAAGTGCTAAACATACCGAAGACTTCCTTCAAACAGCGTATCGATAACCGTGGTTTGCACACTATATTCCATCCTCTGGAAAAACTAAGCTACTACCTGCCATTAACTCTAAACTGCCACATGTAGCCTCATAGCATCATACACTGAGCTATTTAAGCATTTGGGAGAAATATTATCTCATTTAATCTGCACAATAAAAACATAAACAGGCACTATTGTATACATTTTAAGGGTGAGGAAATTGAATCTCAAGTGAAAGCCAAAGCCGTTCTTTGAGTTTTATCTCTTTTGATTCCAAAAAGAGGTGTAGAGTGGAAGATGAAAAATGTACTCAGTTATACCGAGATCAAAATATTGGCTCCATTATCATAAAGTGGACATTTTGATAAAATCTCTTGTTTTTTCCTCTGTAACATCTATACAACCCCCAAAAGTACAGAGTACAACCCCCAAAAGAATTTAAAACAAGACTTCTGTTCCTATCTAGCTTATAGGGAGTAGACAGTGAAAAAAAAAGTGAATGCATACAACAAAGAGATAATTTTAGACACTGAGAAATGTTGTGTAGATTATACTAGTTTACATCAAGGAAAACATCTGTGACAGAATGACATGAGTCAAGACCTAAATAGCCCCAAAATCCAATCATGAACTTACTTGGCGAGTATCACTCCAGGCAAGGAGATTAGGAATTGCAAAGTTCCTAGTGGGAATGGGCAAAAATGATTCATGTACGTAATGAGCATGCAGAGAGAATCAAGAAAAACACGATAAGGGAAATAATGTTTAAAAAAACAACAACAACAAAAAAACCTTTGAGAAGTTCACCCAGAGGAGGGAGATGCCAGTTCAGATTTTGAAGAACTGGAGCAAATTCATGTTAATATCTGAAATATTCTGGAAACAAGAAGTAGACAGCAACATCTGAATATAATTATATATTAGGGGATTGGAAAAATAAATTGAAGGCACACAGTAAAGAACTACAAATTCCAGAAGTAAGCCAGTGAATGATTTGAAGAAGTGTCTGATATGAACAGAACTGTGATTTTGAAATGTTAATCCAGCAGCTGCAGGTGTAAATGATTGGGTGGGTTGAGGGCTGGATGGAAAATAAGTATACTTTTAAAAATTGGGCCTGGCGCAGTGGCTAACGCCTGTAATCTCAGCACTTTGGGAGGCCATGGCGGGCGGATCAAGAGGTCAGGAGATCAAGACCATCCTGGTTAACACGGTGAAACCCCATCTCTACTAAAAATACAAAAAATTAACTGGGCGTGGTGGCATGCGCCTGCAGTCCCAGATACTCGGGAGGCTGAGGCAGGAGAATCGCTTGAACCCGGGAGGCGGAGCTTGCAGTGAGCCGAGATCGCACCACTGCGCGCCAGCCTGGGCGACAGAGCAAGATCTCAAAGTAAATAAGGAAATAAATACGAACATTGAATCAGCCTGTGGGAAAATGATAAGTATAGTTATCTAGAGCACTGGTAATGAGAATGAAAGGGAGATGACATATTAGAAAGCATTTAAAGGTATAATTAAATATGACTGGGTATGAGAGTTGGGTGTGATTTTTTTAGAAGACAGCATGGAGAAGGCTGTTAAATAACAAGGCAAAACAAACAAAATCCCTACGGAACAACAACAACAGCAACAAAAGAAAAACCAACAACAACGCAGTTCAACCATGAAGGACAGTCAAGGGTGAAGTACTCTATTAGGTAATCCAAAGGCAGAAAAGAAGATGCTACTTTTGGCAATTAAGAGGTTGTTGATGGCCGGCGCGGTGGCTCACGCCTGTAATCCCAGCACTTTGGGAGGCCGAGGCGGGCGGATCACGAGGTCAGGAGATCCAGACCAGCCTGGCTAACATGGTGAAACCCCGTCTCTACTAAAAATACAAATAAATTAGCCTGGCGTGGTGGTGGGCACCTGTAGTCCCAGCTACTGGGGAGGTGAGGCAGGAGAATGGCGTGAACCCGGGAGGCGGAGCTTGCAGTGAGCCGAGATCGCACCACTGCACTCCAGTCTGGGCGACAGAGCGAGACACCGTCAAAAAAAAAAAAAAAAAAAAGAGGTTGTTGATAATATTTAATGCAGCAAATTTAATTATATGCTATAAGAGGACTAGGGTGATATGGAGAGAAGAGTATGGAAGAAGATAATTGATGGGTAATTGTTCTATTAAGCCAATGATTGTGTCACAGACAAAAATGTTACAATGGCTAGTGGAAATGCGTAGGAAAGACATTAAGGGTGTCACTCATTTAAATTAGAGAGTAGGTGAAATAGCTTTCTTATATCGTCACAATTCTTCATGATGGGACATAAAACAGGATTGTCAAATATGAATGTATGTAAAAGAATCATATAAAATCCAGAACTGTGGCATTAAAGGTTCAGTTTAGAGCTTACTAAAATTAAAGAAGATTTTCCAGAGATTAACTTACAGGTGTGTGATGTTCTATGGGGGTTGACTGAAATCCGTTGCATGCTAAAATTAGGGATAATAATAATGAATTTGAGAATATAATTAAGTTTGAATTCAATAGCTGGTTTAATTTATTAATTTAGTTTATGTATCATTTCATTAAAATAATGAATAATAAATTAGTATAAAGATGAAAAATTATATTTCTATCAAATGACAGAACCAATATTTTATATTTCCTCCCAATACCTTATCCATATGTAGTTTTTAATTGTTATCTTTATTACATATATTCCAAAATCATTATTCTGCTGACACTTAACTCAGTAGTGTGCATGTGTATGTCTCTTACAAACTTATAAAGGGCTCCCCATTGCCATCTGGTTGACAGGTTGATCAAACACGAAATGTTTATTTTGGAGTCAGCTTTCTTTCAGCTTTACTGGCATTGACTAATCTTAGGTCTTCTTTCCCAAGATACAAACTTTGAGATGCAGGTTTGTGGGCAGTAAGTCTGTTGGGAAGTAACAACACATGTAAGGGAGAGATAAAAGCAGGATTGAGAAGAAAAAATAATTTTAATGCAGTTTCAACAGCCTTCAGTTGACATCATGAAATATGAAGGTGAGATGGTCTTTCAGCTTTGTCCCAACTGAAACAAGGAGAAGGAATCTTTATAAATTATTTTCTTATTTACTCAAGATTGACTTGTATTACATATTTATGAATAAACTTAGTAATATACCATAAACACATATTTGCACAGTTTTATAAGATTAACTGTTGTGCTTCCTTTTCTGCCTTTTTTATAAGGAGATAATATTATTTTTTATAATTTGCTTAGTTTATTCAATGTAAGTACTTGTCCTTTGCTTTGGGGAGATTTCTAGTTAGATTTATTTCTGCTTTGGAATATGTCTCTTTCTACTATCACATTAATCCTTTTGATTCAAGAGCTTAATGGGAAGTGTAGATATTCTGACTTAGGACAGCAACTACGAAGTAGTTTAGCATTACAAAATCAATCAAGAAACCAACAAATCACTTCAATGGCGCTCATCTTCCAAAAGGCTAAGTGTGTAAATCATGAGAAGGTAGTAAGCTTCGTATTTGAGAGAATGATAAGGATTATAGAGCACATCAGAGAAAAGTGGTATGCCATCTATCTAAAACCCTTAAGAAAAATTAAAGTGACAGAATTGAAGGAATGAACAGATTATATCATTAAAATTTGGTCCTGTGTATCATACCCTACACTTCTGGTTTTAAGGTTTGCATTGTGCAATTGGTTTTAATTATGTTGATTCTTACAAGTGTATCTAAAATGTACAAATGGATAGATTTATTTTCTAGAGTTGTCATTTTCAGTGGCTAAAATTAACGTACTATTGGGAAAATTTTTGTGATCTCCATTGTCATAAATATTAAGTTGATGATGATTTTGTGAATTCATACTTTCTAATGTCCAAGTCACTGCATATAGAATAATTAAATTAATAGACAGAATATCTTTAAACACTAAATGCCACAAGGGTAATATTCAGTGAGCTATAAATTGCTGTTAGCCTCAGTCCCTGGAGGAGATATTTAATATGTGAGTCATCAACTTTTAATGTATCATTTCAAACAATTTTGTGTTCACTAAAAAATTGTGGCTGGGTGTGGTGGCTCACGCCTGTAATACCAGCACTTTGGGAGACTGAGGTGGGTGAATTGCTTGAGCCCAGCAGTTCGGGCTAAGCTGGGCAACATGGCAAAACCCCTTCTCTACTGAAAATACAAAAATTAGTCAGGCATGGTAGGGCATGCCTGTAGTTCAGCTGCTCACGGGCTGAGATGGGAGGATCATTCATGGTAGGGGGGCAGTGTGGAGTTGCAGTGAGCCGAGATCACACCACTGCACTCCAGCCTGGGCGAACAAGTGAGACCTTGTCTCAAAAAAAAAAATAAAATGAAATAAAATAAAAAAGAATAAAAACAATCTTTTAATTTTTTTATGAAATTGCAAATAGATTAGGTAATTATTTTATACATTTAAAAACACACCTTAACAAATTTAAAATAATTGAAATCATACAGAAGGGGTTCTCTGAACATAAAGGAATCAAATTAAAATCGAAAAACAGGAAAATCTTTATACAGGTAGAATGTTTAAAATAATCCAATTAAAAAGTGAGCAAATAGTATGGATAGACATTTCATCAGTGAAGATATATAGATTTCGTATAAACACATGAAAAGACATTCAATACCACTAGCTATTAGGGAAATACAAATTAAAACCATAATTAGGCATCACTCTGTATCTGTCTAATGGCTAAAATTAAAAAAAAATCATGAAAATACCAAATTGTGAGAGAAAATAGTGAAACTACATCATTACTACATACCTGTGAGAATATAAAATAGCATAGCCACTTGAGAAAATACTTTGGAAATTAATTTTAAAACTAAAACTGTAATTACAATAAAAACCCAGCAATTGCACTACTTGCCATTTACTCCAGAGAAATGAAAGCTGATGTTCGCACACACAAAAATAACTTTTTACATGAACATTCTTAACAGCCAGCCTTATTACTAATAGCCAAAAATTTGAAATAACTAGATGTCTTTCAACAGGTGAATAGTAAAACAGTTATGGTACATACATATGTGGATGTACATACATATGTGGAACACTATTCAGCAGTAATCAAGAACAAACTATTGATATGTACAACAACCTGGTTGAATCTCCAGGAAATTATACTGAGTGAAATAAAAAGCAGTCTCCAAAAGGTATATAGTGTATGATTCCATTCATATAATAGTTTTTAAATAATAAACTTTTAAAATGGTAAGCATTATTAACATAGTATTGGTTGCCCAGAGTTAGGGCAGGGGTGGGATGGGGTAGGAAGGTGTGGCTATAAAAGGAAAACATAGCATCCTTGTGGTTATGGAACAGCTCAGTGTCTTTACTGTGGTGGTTTATTCATGAAAATACATAAGAGATAAAGAGCTGAATATGTATACACCCATACTCATACAAGTAATACTGAGGAAATTTTAATAAAACTGGTAGATACAGTCAGTGCTTCAGTGCCAGTATTCTGGTTGTAATATTGTACGAGTATTTTAGAATGGTTCCATTAGGAGAAAATGGGTAAAAGATATGCAAGATTTGATTTTTAAAAAAATAACTGCTCATGAATTTATAATTAACTCAAGAAAAAGATCAATAAAAATGTATGAGGTGTCCGGGCACAGTGACTCACGCCTGTAATCCCAGCACTTCGGAAGGCCGAGGTGGGCAGATCACTTGAGGTCAGGAGTTTGAGATCAGCCTGGCCAACATGGTGAAACCCCATCTGTACTAGAACTACAAAAATTAGCCGGGCGTGGTGGGGCACTCCTGTAATCCCAGCTACTCTGGAGGCTGAGGCAGGAGCATTGCTTGAACCCGGGAGGCAGAGGTTGCAGTGAGCCCAGATCGTAACACTGCACTCGAGCCTAGGTGACAAGAGCAAGACTCGGTCTCAAAAAAAAAAAAAAAATTAGGTGACATCTAACATTTTACGTGCATTTTCAGTGGTTTGAAAGTAAAAATCACAGATACCTACATAAAATATGAATCTAAATATGCATTCATCTTCTTACAACCTAAGTAGACTCTAGCAAAAAAAATCCCTTATGTTTTTACCATGATGTCTCCATATCTGCCTGCCTCTTTAGCTCCATTTTTATTACACCATGTTTTATATTTACTGTGGTCTGTTCATTGTCCTGCTTTTGCATTATCACACACAGGATTTTGTTGCATGCTTGATCTCTACTGGAAATGCCTTTTCCTCAACACTTTTACCTATCTAACTCCTCTTTAACAATTTAAATTCATTCTAAATTAAGAAAACTATCAGTGAATGTTTCACTCTGAGTTAGTTTTCCTTTATCTATTTTGCATAATACTCTTTCCATGTCACTCTCATTGCATTACGAATGATCTATTTAAGGAATCTATTTTAGTCCTTTTACACCACCTTATGGGAACAGAGAATGGGAATTTCCAGAACCAAGAGCAATGCTGGTATAAAACAAATATTCAATAAATACTGTTTGTGTGAATGGGAGTTTTAGATATGATTTTCAAATGTTTCTTTTAAAATTGTATTACTGTCAGATTTATTTGCAGAATTTACGTTTTAAAACTTTTCTTTACATACTTACATTCTGCATTGTTTCAGCTCTTAAAGCAATTTAAATGATTTGTAAAAATTCATGCTCTACATTATCCTTCCCTTATAGTTTTGTTGGAATGTCCTGAGAATTACTTAAATTTGCACCAAGAGATTACAGTAACAATCTTATAATTGCTAGGGTTGGGTTCCCTTTAAAAAGTTATACACAAACATCCTTGAAGAGAAAAAGTCTTTGAATCAGATATTTTGAAATTAAGTTTTCTAAATTACTTTTACAAACCCATCAACTCTTTGTTCTAATCTACCTTCTGGTATTCAAGGCAATTATATTCAGTGTATTAAATTGAGAGATTCCACAGTAGGTGTAAGGAAATGTTATGTAATTGTTTAAGTAAGTCCTAAAATTGCAATCAGTAAATTTTTGTTCAAATCCCGATACAGATTAATAGCTAAGTGACCTTAAAATCAAGTCTGTGATTACACGCATGCTGTGGCTCATGCCTGTAATCCCAGCACTTTGGGAGGCCCAGAGGGTTGGATGACTTGAGGTCAGGAGTTCGAGACCAGCCTTGCCAATGTGGTGAAACCCCGTCTCTACTGAAAATAGAAAAATTAGCTGGGTGTGGTGGCGCTCACCTGTAATCCCAGCTACTCAGGAGACTGAGGGAAGAGAATTGCTTGAACCCAGGAGGCAGAGGCTGCAGTGAGACGAGATCGTGCCACTGCACTATAGCCTGAGCAACAGAGCGAGACCCTGTCTCAAAAACAAAACAAAAACAGAAAATCAGGTTATACTGTTAAAAATGTTGTTTCATCAATAAATTTATGGAGTACTTCAAAGTAATTCTTTGAGGATTAAAAAAATATAGCTATAAAAAATATGAAGTGCTTCAGGCAACAAAAGCAAAAATAGACAAATGGGATTACATCAAACTGAAAAGCTTCTGACAGTAAAAGAAGCAATTAACAAAGTAAAGAGACAATCTATAAAATGTTAGAAAATATTTGCAGGCTATACATCTGACAATGGATTAATATCCAAAATATATTTGAAACGAGAACAACTCAATAGCAAAAACAAAAAGATTAACCTGATTTAAAAATGAGCAAAAGACCTGAATAAATATTTCCCAAAAGAAGACATTCAAATGGCCAACAGGTGTATGAAAACTGGTTCAACACTGTTAATTATCAGGGAAATGAGAACTATAATCACAATGAGATATCACCTCACACATGATAGAATGGCTATCATCAACACAAGAAAATAAGTGTCAGTGGGGATGTGGTGAAAAGGGAACCCTTGCACACTGTTAATGGAAACGTTAATTCAGTCACGGAAAACAGTATGGATGTTCCTCAAAAAATTAAAAATAGAAATACTATATGATCCAACAATCTCATTATTGGGTGTATATCCAAAGGAAATGAAATCAGTACATCAAAGAGATATTTGAGCTCCCACATTCATTGTAGCATTACTTAACAATAGCCAAGATATGAAAATAACTGAAGTCCTCATCAATGGATGAATGGATAAAAACATATGGCATATACAAGTTGGCATTCGTAATATAACAGCCCAAATTCAAAATGCTCCAAAATCCAATACTTTTTGAGTGTGAACATGATACCACAAGTGGAAAATTCCACACCTGCCCCATGTGATAGTTCACAGTCAAAACACAGGCACATAGCCCAGTTTATTCAGCATCCCCAAGGGAGAAAAGACTCTCCCAGATTCCTTCAGGTGTAATTTACTTTTATTCGCACACACCCAGATTTTCACCTAAAAATATAAAATACAATGTACAGTAAACTTTTAATCTTAATGCAGCATCACAGCTGGAGACTGAAAGCCTGCTGCTGTTTGTTGTTGTTGATGTTTAGACGCTGATAGAGGTATTCTGGTGATGCTATTATGCTACTTGGTTACTTTGAGCACCTTCTTTTTCACTGTATTAATAATATATCTTTTTTTTTATCATTCACTACTTATGTGTAAGTGTAGAAAACTGATTGCTTATTGGTACCCCATAAATTTAGAGTTGGGAATGATGGTGATGCTAAGCAACCACAGATTGTCCACATGGATGACTGAGATGGTGACACATTTGGTTTTTGATGGTTCAATGTACACAAACTGTTTTATACAAAAAATTATTAAAAATATTGTATAAAATTACTTTCAGACTACATTTACAAGGTGTATATAAAACATAAGTGAATTTTGTATTTAGACTTGGGCTCGATCCCCATGATATTTCATTATGTATGTGCAAATATTCCAAAATTCAAAAAAACATGAAATTCCTAACACTTATGATCCCAAGCATTTTAGATAAGAGATACTCAACATGTATGCATGATAAAGTACTATTCAATCATAAACATGGGGAAATCCTGTTATTTGTGACAATGTGGATAAACTTGAAAAGGTTTATATTAAGTAAAACAAGCCAGGCACAGAAAAACAAATACTACATCATCTCACTCATATAAAGAATCTAAAAAAGTTCATCTCATAGAAATAGAGAGTAGAATTGTTGTTATCAGAGACTGGGGTGGTTGGGGGAGAGGGTGGTTGTTGAGATGTTTGTTAAAGGATACAAAATTTCAGTGAGATGGGAAGCATGAATTGAAGACACATATTGTGCAACATGATGACTATAGTTAATAACAATTTATTGACTTATTTAAAAATGCTGAGTGGACATATTCTCACTATAAAAATAACTATTGTGAGGTAATACATATGCTAATTAGTGAGATTTAGTCATTTCACAATGTGTATATATACTTCACATTGCACATGATAAATACATACAATTTTGTCAATTAAAAATCAATTTAAAGTAATTTTTAAAGTATGTGATACTTGATAGAAAAATAATAAATATAATCCCAATTCCTCAAGATTTCACTTCTCAGGATATATAACTCATGCTAGTATCTATGTATGATATTGTATAAATTTACTATGCTGCTTGTAAATGTGTACCAAATAATTGAAGCTATGTAATACACTCAAAATAAATACTTAATCCTTGTGAAGCACACAAAAATTTAGAATGTATGCATGATAAAATTTTATTTTGTCAAGTGTTAGAAATTTATTTGAAGAAACATTCTATTTTCCAAACAATAATAACATTTTTTTTCAAATAATTCTTCAGTTTTATAAAGTATCAGTGTTTTAAGTTATTCTGTTCTATGTATACATTGAATATTTTTGATAGCCCCTTTTTGTAAATCTTTCAATCTGTTCATCATAGAAATCTCTTTTATATTTAATAATAAAATAGTCCAGATTTGTTTAAAAAATGTGAAAATTTGGTTTCATCGTATATATTAAACTTTGACTGTTAACCAGAAGTGTATCATAGCTGGAGTTTGAAGGCTCATATTTTTTTTAGGTTTTAATATTTCATAATTACTGTGAATTTCCAACAACTCAGGAGTGGAAAAGAAACTTGTTCACTCAGAAGATTCCTGTGGTATTATATTGCACTCAAATTGTATTCAGGGTTTCATTAGAGAAGCAAAAATAAAAGTAGACCTGACATAGATTTATTAGTCCTAGCAGAGTGTTTATATTTTCTTTATTCAGCTAGGGATGTGTAAGGATAGCCAATGAGAAGACATGAACAACTTCATTAAGAACTAACCACACACACACAAAAGTAATTATGTGAGATGATGACTATGCTAATTTGCTTGATGTAGGAATTGTTTCACTAGATGTACATCAGCACATCATATTATACACTTTAAATATGTTAGATATGAGTTCAAAATTACTTTTCAAATAATTAATATGTCAGTATGTTCAATTCTTTGCTTTCTACTTTTAAAGTGAACTTCCTCGTAAAGCAACCTTTCTTCATTAACTACTACACCCTGACTCATTCAGATCACCTGCTCCACTCTCACTCATTCTGATCACCTGCTCCACCCTCACTCATTCTGATCACCTGCTCCACCCTAACTCATTTAGATTACCTGCTACCTGCTTTGCCGTGACTCCCACCAAAGCACTCCCCCTGTCATTCTCTTTAAATTAGCCAATTGGAATTAGTTTAGCCTGTGCGGTCTAATCCTAGCCAACGGGGGAATGACACAGCAGCAGGGACCACGTGAGTCAGGAATAAGAACGCTTTCCTCTCCCTTGTCCAAGTGTGCACTCACCATTGCTCCATCTGTAAGGGCACCCTTCTATAAAAGTAAGTTGCCTTGCTGATAATTAAAAAGAAAATTTTATATTCAAGTGCTATTCCTTTTGTGGCACCAAAACTTTATATATAACAAATATATACCATTTAAAAAAACCTGATGGGAAGGAATGAAAATATAGACATTAATTCATTTTAAAATACCTGAGTTTGATTTCCATGAGATTTGATTTTATGTGCTCTTAGATAAGTATCAATCTTTTCTAATATGTTGGCTATTATTCTTCCTATTATGAAGTGTTTTTGATTCCAGGTGTATTTTACTAACAATACTTTCTTTTATATCCTGTGTGGTTTATGTAGTCCAACTTTAAATCGCAGAGAAAGAAATAATGTCATTTTCTGGAAAGTACGTCTAATTCTGGAACTGACTGTGACACTACTTCTTGCATCAAAGATTTTAACATTTTTTGACTCAATGATTTTATACTGTGGTCATTTAAGCCAGTACTCTTATGATTAGAAAGCATATAGCTTGGTTCATTGTTGTTTGTTTGTTTTGTTTTGTTTTGTTTTGTTTCCTCCTTTGGTAGATTTTATTTTTTTAGAGTAGTTTTAGGTTTGCAGTAAAATGGAGCAGAAGGTACAGAGAATTCCCATATGCTCTTCACCTGGTATCTCCCCACATTCCCATTATTATTAACATATTCATTAGAGTGAACATTTGTTACAATCTGTGATGGTTAATTTTTTTTTTTTTTGAGACGGAGTTTCACTCTTGTTGCCCAGGCTTGAGTGCAATGGCATGATCTTGGTTCACTGCAACCTCTACCTCCCGGGTTCAAGCCATTCTCCTGCTTCAGGCTCCCTACTAGCCGGCATTACAGATGCCCAACACCATGCCCAGCTAATTTTTGTATTTTTAGTAGAGATGGGGTTTCACCATGTTGGCCAAGCTGGTCTCGAACTCCTGACCTCAGGTGATCCACCTACCTCAGCCTCCCAAACTGTAGGATTACAGAGGTGAGCCATCTTGCCCGGGCCTGTGATGGTTAAATTTGCATATCAACTTCCCTGGGCTAAGGAATGCCCAGACCTCTGGTAAAACATTTCTGGGAGCGGCTGTGATGGTGTTTCTGAAAGATTAGCATTTGAACTGGTAGATTGTTGGTGTAGATTGGTGTTGTCAGTATGCTGAATTTGGACCATTCCAATAGGCATGTATGCTATCTTGATGTTATAATTTACATTTCCCTAATTATGTATAATACTAAGCATTTTATCATGTGCTTATTTTCCATTTGTATATTGCCTTTTGTGGGGCGTCTTTTTAAGCCTTTTGCCTGTTAATTCATTTGTTTTCTTATGCTTCAATTTTAAGAGTTATTTGCATATTTTAGATACAAGTCCTTCATCAAAAATATATTTAACAAATATTTTCTCCTACTCTGTGGCTTGCCTGTTTATCTGAACAGTGTCATTTGAGATAAGAATATTTGATTTTTAATGAAGTTCAACATATCTATCATTTATTTCAGGGACTGTGCTTTTGGTATCATATCTCAAATGTCATCACCTAATTCAAAGTCACCAAGATTTTCTCCTATGTTATCTTGTAGAAATTTTGTAGGTTTGCATTTTACATTTAGAATTTTGGGCAAGCCAATTAACATTTCTGAATCTCACTTGCCATGTTAGTAAAATGGAAATTTTTCACTAAGAGTTTTATATTCCTAAATTAGAATCACTGTTTGTTTTTCAAATAAAATTTTATCTAGAAGCTCCAAAGTTAAAGAAGATAAAATGAGTTACTCTTGTTCATGATGTATATGGAGACCATGGCCCCAGTATACCTGTTTCTTCCAGCAATGCTCAGTATAATATGAAACTACTAAAATAGGAAATTCAAAGGGCCATTCTTAATCATATTTCATAATTTAAAATCCCTCAATTATTTCTCTCTCAAATGTATGAGAACATATAATCAACTTCAGATTTCTACCATGTAGCCTTTCCTTATATTCTTAAAATATCGGATTTTCACAGCCATCAAGTTAATGTTCTTTTTGTCTCATTTTTCCCTCTTCTTTCTCCTTCACATATCATTTGACTCTTTCTTATTTTTATTCTCTTTTTTCTCTTGTATGTTGACAAACATTTATTGAGTTTCTACATTTTGCCTAGCACTGACTTAAGCCTATGAATAAAAAAGAGACATATACAACTCTTTCTTTTTTCAAAATGTTCACAGTCTAAGTCTTCAAACAGATTATAAGTCATAATAAATACACGGTTTTCATAATAACGGTTTAGGAATATGTACACTCTGCCATGATGTTCAAGACAGATTGGCTATTTCTTAGGAATGATAAAAAGTGATGTTTGAGCTGACTTGGAAAGTTAACAGTATTGGGGGGCATAGGAATTCTAGACAGGTTGTAAAGGATAAGTAAAGACACCAGGGTTTAAGTCAGAACAATCTATTTGGAGAATATAAAGTCTACAAGAAAAGGACAGAGTCTGATATTGTTAGAAATAAAACATACGTTCCCCAGTCATTTTTCAAAATTTTATAGTTTTACCCCATAATCACTTAGTACCTCCAATATTAATATGTTCTGTTGTACAGAAATTGTCCAAGATAGCTCTCAAATAACTACAGCCATAAAATGGTTGAAACTGGCCAATATGGTTGTTTCTTGCCTGCACTGATAAATCTGCCTGGGTCAAACACACAATACACATTTTTTTTTTTCAAATATTGGTTGCATAATTTTGATAGTTAACAAAAATGTAAATACAAATATGTAATGTTGTAAGGAAAATACAGACTTTTTGAAAGGTCAAGTTTAGAATGAATTTGTCATTTGTTTGCTACATGAAATAGTTACATGTTTTTACTTTGGCCAACATTTTTCTCTGATAATGGCATAAAATTTTCATTTTGACTTTTATCATGCAAAATTCTATATTAAACTTTAATTAAAATGCTTTAGGTATAGTACCTCAAGAAACAAGTCATAGCTGGCCATGTTCAACTTATATTTCTAGTAAAATAACTATAAACTGAAAACTAGTACAAAATTCCAGACTAAGGGAAAAATATTTTAAAGCACTTTCTCTAAAAATTATTATAGAAACACATAATAAATACTTCACATCTTTTTTTCGGGGTTACTGTGGCTTTTTATTAAATTAATCTTTTATGATGTGAGCTTCAAAGATGACTTTGAATGGAAAAGTTGATCGTTAAAAAAATTCTTTAAAATCTTCCTTTTTTCTTTTCATTTTTCTTCTTTATTTCATTTCTGTCTTTAACTTAAGAAATATTTCACTATCCCAAGGATACACAGACACACATACATATATATATATAAAATATGTGAATAGATATATTTAAGTATATATAAATAAAAGAATCATAAAAAGTTACATGTTATTATGATATTTAAAATCATAATGTTTATTTTAAAATATTTCCCTGCGGGGCTGAGAAAGTAATGGTTAATGCAGAATGGAAAGTTCATGAGTTTTCTCAAGGCCAATGTGGAATTTGGTGTGTTACTATTTGAAGGTAGTAGATGCTATTTTCCTTTTTTTTTTTCTTTTTCGAGTTAATATTTTGCCTTTTTATTCAGAAAGTAGTGTTGGGGAACAAATTGTTCTACTTGTTTGCATTGATGAATAGTACCCCAAGATCCAGACATTTTCCTTTCAATTTAACAGAAGAAATATGAAAAATCATGTCATAAAATATATATATATACACATGGACAGATAGAGGGGAACAACACACACTGGGGCCTATCGGAGGGTGGATGTGGGAGGAGAGACAGAATCAGGATAAATAACTAACGGGTACTAGGTTTCATACCTGAGTGGTGAAATAATCTGTATAACACCCCATGACAAAAGTTTACCTATGTAACAAACCTGTACTTACATGCCTGAATCTAAAATAAATGTAAAAAAAAATTAAATTAAAAAATAGATGTTGGTTTAAAGGAATTATTTATATCTCCTATAAAGGTAAGTGGTATATTCATTATAAATTTCTGTATTTAAAAATTGAATTATATAGATAAAAAGCTGTACCAGAAAACAGTTTTGAGTAGTTTATTTGGCTGAAAATCATGGTATTGCAGTTAAAATCAAATAAGACTGGGTAAGCCTAGAAAGGACTTAATTATGAGTTTGCACTACACAAACCTGAGAACAAACTCCAGTAAGTTAATAGTGCTTTTATTAAAGTCAAAGTTTAATTGAGAATATTCTATGTAAACACTGAATCTGTAATTTCTAAATCATAATCAAATTATGTATATTTATATAAAATACTTGTTATTAAATATTATTTGTTGTTTTAATAAGATATCCATTTTGATATTTTGATAAGGATATAATTGAATAAAAAAACTCACCAACATTATACTTAGTGAAACTTTCCCTAAAGTATGGTAAAAGTTTCTATAATCCAACTGTGAGCTGGGCAGCAGTTTATTTAAATTGCAGACTGCATCTGTAGAGCATCCTCTAGAACATCTGTCTTATGGTCTTAGTAGATAAGTCCACAGCACAGATGTCACTCCTATTAACTCTCATAGAGAAGAAGCTGAACAATTAGGTGGGGAGAAGTGGTAAAAATTAGGGTATGATCAGTTACAATTTCAGAAAATTTCCTAATATATCATAAATTTCACTGTTAAATGAATTTAAACTTTTGCAAGTGGAGGTGTGGTTTATAAGTGCCTATTTCTCTTGCTAGATACATTATATTAATAGGAGTGTGTATGGGGATATGTATGTAAAATTTTTGAGAGAGAGTTAAAAATTGTTGCAAATATGAAAATAAGTAGCTATCAATAAATCAAAAAATATCAAGTAAAGAATTCTAATAGGTCTATGGCAAGAAAAATGTATACAATTAAGAACAAAATAACAGAAAAAAACATAATACAATAGCATGCCAGGTAGAATAATGTAATATTGAAATTAAACATTAAAAATTATATTAATTTTCCATTGTAAGACTCTTTGGTAGTTTATTTGAAATTATCTTACTAAGTTTTTTAGAGGAAGCTTTTACTGCCCTAAGTATTTGCAATTAATGTCATGATACTCTTCTGAGGCGATAACCAAAACTTACGTTATATTTGATGTAAATATGTTTTTACTTAAATAAATAATCAATTTGTGCCATAAACATTGTAAGAAAAGATTATCTCACCTCATTAGGCTGTCTTTGTCCTTGACTAAATTTAGGTAAATGGTTCTTGAGAATTTGTAGCATCACATGTACTTAAACTAGAGCAGGTAGCAACTGTTAATGAGAAAAAATATACTCTGGTATGGTCAATTCATTGTTTTGACAGGTTTAACAAACAAAATGACTTGCCAGACTTGATCATAACATCATTCATCAATGAAATAGTGAAACTAATCTATACATGCTTTAACCTGGAAGTGAGAGGCCAAACTGACAAACTGGCCTCATATATATTGCCATTGTTTAGTGTAATCAACAAATTCAGTAGCAGATTTCCCCTCAACATAACAGAGGTGTCCATTTGACATACTAGATTAAAACATAGGATATGGAAAATGATATTTGGTATTTAAGACATACTGTAATTTTTTAATACACCATTGTATCTTTTTCAAATTTGTCACTTTAAGATATCTTGACTAGCATGCATATATTGGAGGGCAAAGATAACAGATACAATAAGTTATGTGACTTTTATTGCAATCCTTTGTTGCTTTGCTGTAATCAAAGTAAAAAAAAGTACAAAAAAAACTGAACATTATAGAATAACATTCAAATCTTGACTTAAAAAATTACATTGCAGAAACAAAGAAAATTGGTGATAAAAATAGTATATATATTATGCACCTGATGTGGTTTGGTTCTCTGTCTCCATCCAAATCTCATGTTGAATTGCAATCCCCATTCTTGGAGTTGGAGCCTGGTAGGAGGTGATTGGATTATGGGGGTGGTTTCTAATGGTTTAGCACCATCCCCTGCAGGCTGTTTCATGATAGAGTTCTCATGAGATCTGGTTGTTTGAAAGTATGTAGCACCTCCCCCTTTTCTCTTTCTTTCTCTCTCTCCTGGCGCCACGTGAAGACATACTTGCTTTCCCTTTGCACTTCTGCGGTGATTGTAAGTTTCCTGAGGCTCCTGAACCATGTTTCCTGTACAGCATGCAGAACTGTGAGTTAATTAAACCTCTTTTATTCATAAATTACCCAGTCTCAGGTAGTTCTTCACAGCAGTGCAAGAACAAACTAAAACAGCACCTTAATGCATTTTCCCTCTATTGATAAAAGTGATTGCTCTCACAGTTTCATCTTATTCCATCATGCCTTCTAAGAATTAGATTTCTATTTTGCCTTTTGTCTTTACTGTACTTTGAAATTATATTTTATCTAGTTTAGTCTGCAGGAGTGGTAAGCATCATTTCAGGAAAGGCACTGAAAATAATGGATTCTTGGAAGAAGCATGTCTTTTCATTTCTTTAAACAGTGATTCTTTTTTGTCTATAGAAAACACAAGTTGCTCAAAAGGTATTGATTTTGTAGCTTGTGCAGATAGCATTTTCCTTGTTATCAATCTCTACCAGGTTTTAAAATCCTAGGGAATATCTTTTTTAAAAATTTTCTGAATATTTATATGGGTAGTTTAAGAAGAATGTTATTTAGAGTAGTTTATTCTAACTTTAAAGATACTGCACATCATCTGATTTTCCTCAATTATCCTCAGTTATTCCTAATCCTCTAGCAAGTTTAACCTGATGAATTTGAGGCCTTCTGAAGCACAGGTAAGTAGTTCATCTTAGCTGCTATATGTGCATCATCAAGGGTGAGGTCCAGATGTTTTTAGAGATTTATGATCTGCCTAAATCATCCTTTCCCTCTTCTAGGACTATAACTGTTAGATAGATACACATAGAAATCAATAGCCAAGTTATAAATGTCAACTTTCTTGATGGCTGGGCAAGTACTGATGCTTTTATCCCCCTATCTTAAAGTAAAGTTCTGGTAGAGCTCAATATGAATACAGCTTAAGTCAGGATGGCTTGGAAAACGGGCTATACATGTTTCCTACAAATCACCACTGAAAATGAAAATTATATCTGTATGTTCACTCCCCTGTGTGCCACAGTATAAATAGAGAAGAAAATGTTGGAAGCATCCTACCCCCATCTACTCCTTCATTTGAGTGAATCAACCCAGAGAGACTGGAGCAGTAGTTTTAAAAAACAGGAGTGAAAACACTGAACATAATCACCTTAATACAGATGAGTAGATAAATCTGATAAATAGAGAACAGTGAATCGTTACACAAAATACAGTGGAAACACCAAAGGGGGATGAGAATCCTGGCACAAAAGTGCAATTTAAAGTTTTCTTGAGAATCGTGGATTGTTGGCAGAGACAGTAAGGCCAAAACATAGAGATGTTACAGAGTAGCAAGAAAATGTTGCTAGTCTGGTACTCAGATAGAAATTAACTGCATTTTTTTCATGTTTTGATGTTTCCTTCCCTTCCCCAATTTTGAAATATTAAAATAAAAATCAGTTCTTGAAATTAAGAAGATGGTGATGATGATGACAGTGATGGCAACAATGATGGAAGAGGTCTTATTGCCTGCTCACTTCGTGCTTGACTCTCTCCTGAAAGCCTTCTCTTGGAGGACATTAGCTTTCCCTATCATAAAAATTATTTATGTTTCTGACGTGGCTGTTTCTGATAAGGCAAAGCTCATTATATTTAAGAACTACATTAGTCAGTGCTTTTAAACCTATAATGAAAGTTACATCACATCATGCCTAAAAGGGAGAATTACAAATTTTCCTCCGAAGAAGATAGCCTGTACAACAAAGGGACTGCAAAATTTTCCCAATTTGCGTTGGTAAGGACTTGAAAGTATGTTTGTAAATTAATAGGTTGTAAGGGTGTTAGATCAAGGAGAACATATATGTCTTAAATTATTGATATGGCTGTACTTACCTTAGAGGCAAATTTTAATGTGTTAGCTTGAGCGCTTGGATGGTTCTAACAGCTGTCTTGGCTAATTGAAGATTTTATTCAATGGTTATCCATGATCACTAATCCTGAGATGCCAAAAATGCCCTTGTATATATTAGAGTAGGGATTCTAAACCTTTGGGTGGGGGTGTGTGTACCTGTGTGTGCATAGGGGCCATGAATCCCTCTATCTGGTTAAGCTATGAACCTCTGTAGCAAATAACTTTTTACATTGATAAGGTAAAATACTAAAGATTTTTTTTTTTTTAAAAACCTAATTATGTTGACTATATGTGTGAATTTAAAAATGTGGTATAGTTAGGCTTGCCCCTGTGGCTCACTCCTGTAATCCTACCACTTTGGGAGGCTGAGGCAGGTGGATTGCCTGAGCTCAGGAGTTCAAGACCAGCCTGGGCAACACGGTGAAACCCCATCACTACTGAAACCCAAAAAATTAGCTGGGTGTGGCAGTGTGCACCTGTAATCCCAGCTACTTGGGAGGCTGAGACAAAAGAATCGCTTGAACCCAGGAAGCGGAGGTTGTAGTGAGCCAAGATCATGCCATTGCACTCTAGCCTGGGTGACAGAGTGAGACTCCATCTCAAAATAAAAATAAAAATAAAAATGTGGTACAGTTAAACATGTGTGGTGTTTAATAATATATTAGTAACAAAACATAATAGATTTGCAACTTCTGTGTCTTCAAAGTAGTGATATCTATCTATAAATAAATAGTATTTTGAAATATAAGCATAATATCATGTACATTTTTCTATTGGTGACAAAAATCACAGATGCTACTAATACTACTGGCTTCTTGCTTATATTCTTAAGGAAGGAAATACTAATTTTTTTTTAGTTTGTTGAAACCAGTTTTTTACAACTCATATTCATAGAATATCCTGCCTTCTATCCATGTGAACTACATTTTAAGAAGCCCTTGCAGAGAAGAGAGTATGAAGGCTTTGGCAGTTGGCATGTTGCAGTGGATTTATTATATCCATGTGCTACTCAGCCACCTCTTAACCATTTAACCAAACCTTCCATAGTATCAACAGATGGGGATTATCTCTATCAGGAAAAATTAAGTCATAGCTCCATACTCAACTTCTAGACCTAACAAATTCAGTTTCATGACTTCCAGGCCCTCAATTGATGGAGATACTGGGTTTCTTTGAAAAAAGAACCAACAAGCCATTAGTTTATTTTATAAAATTTTCTCCACCCCTCCACAAAGGGACATGCAGTTTCTGACCAAGGTGACTGTATACTAGGAAAAGAGAAATACTAAGACATTGGGGAAATTATTAGAAACATACTCAAAGTTATTGCTATACCTGGGTAAATGAAAAACTACTGCAGTCTACCAGTCAAGAGTGAGGGTTAATGGATTAGTTGATAGAGAAAACCTACAAACTTATGCTATAGTTAATTTCTTATCTTCCTGAATGCAGAATTTGAATACATATGTTTTACCCCTGTTAAAATCTCCACACTGACTCCCTTAACTCTAAAATGAAGGCTATTATGGTATGAAATATTTTTTTAAAAGACACTGGAGGTGTTCATCACCGCAAATAAAAGAAAGCACTGAAACTGCCACAACTGGCCCATGGAACTGATGTTTACTGTTTTTTGGACAGGCATAGATATTGACCCTCCTGGTCTTAAAGCTTGAAACTTACATTTGTCTTATCTGAATTACTTCCTAAGTTAACTGAGCCTCAGACAATAAAATGCCAGACCCCTCATCCGTCATGATTCCTGTTTACCAACTTCTCTTCCTTACCACTTCTTAATTCCTGTTTTCCCACACATAGTTACATTTCTTCCCTTTTACATAAGCACCTACTTTTAGTCCATTCAGGATGCAAACTGATGGTAGTGAATAAGTCTCACAAGATCTAATGGGAGTTCCCCTGCACAAGCTATCTCTTGCCTGCCACCATGGAAGACATGACATTTTTTCCTCTTTTGCCTTCCACCATGATTGGGAGGCCTCCCAAGATATGTGGAATTGTGAGTCAATTAAACCTCGTTTCTTTATATGTTACTCAATCTTGGGTATGTCTTTATTAGCAGTGTGATAACAAACTGATACAATGTTCATGACTGCTAACTGATCAGAGTGGTGGTTGCTGAAATTTAGGGTGGCTGTGGCAATTCCTTAAAATAAGACAACAATGAAGTTTGCCACAGCAATTGACCCTTTCATGAAAGATTTCTCTGTAACACGCAATGACGTTTGTTAGCATTTTACCCACGAAAGAACTTCTTTTGAAATTGCAGTCAGTTCTTTCAATCCCTGCTGCTATTTTATCAAATAAGTTTACATAAAATTCAAAATTCTTTGTTATTTCCACATGATTCACAGTGTGTTCACCAGGAGTAGATTTCATTTCAAAACCACTTCCTTTGCTCATTGATAGGAAGCAAATCTTCATTCGTTACAGTTTTATCCTGAGATTTTAGCAAGTTAATAACATCTTCAGTCTCCACTTCTTCTAGCTCTTTTGCCATTTTCACCACGTCTGCAGTTACTTCTTTCCCCTGAAGTCTGAAATCTCTCAAATTCATCCATGAGTGTTGGAATCAACTTCTTCCAAACTCCTGTTAATGTTGGTATTTTGACCTCCGTAACAAATGTTCTTAATGCCATTGACATCTATAATTGTGAGTCCCTTCCAGAATGTTTTCAATATAGTCTTCCCAGTTCCATCAGAGGAATTCTTATCTATGGCAGCCACAGCCTATGAAATTCATTTCTTAAATAATAAGACTTGAAAGTCAAGATTACTACTTGATTCGTGGGCTGCAGAATAGATGTTTTTCTAACAGGCGTGAAACTAACAATAATTTAATGTACATCTTCATCAGAGCTCTTGAGTGACTAGGTGCCTTGCCAATGAGCAGGAATATTTTGAAAGGAACCTCTTTCGTTGTTGTTTTTCAGCAATAAGTCTCAAGAATGGCTTAAAATATCCAGTAAACCATGACGTCAACATATGTGCTTTTATCCAGGCTTTGTTGTTCTGTACTCCATAGAGTACAGGCAGAGAAGATTTAGCATAATTCTTAAGGGCCCTAGGATTTTCAAATTGCAAATGAGCACTGGCTTCAACCTTAAGTCATTAGCTGCCTAGTTGCTTACAAGAGAGTCAGCCTGTCCTTTGAAGCTTTGAAGCCAAGAATTGACATCTCCTCTCTAGCTCTGAAAGTCCTTGAGGACTTCATCTTCTAATAGAAAGCTGTTTTGTCTACATGGAAATTTTGCTGTTTAATGTAGCCAACTTCATCCATTATCTTAAATAGATCATCTAGATAACTTGCTGCAGCTTCTACATCAGCATTTGTTACTTCATTTTGTACTTTTTTATGTTTTGAAGACATCTTCTTTTCTTAAGCCTCATGAACCAACCTCTGCTAGCTTCAACATTTCTTCCGCACTTTCCTCACTTCTCTTACCCTTTATAGATTGAAGAGAGTTAGGGCCTTGCTCTGGATTAAGGTTTGGTTTAAGATAATGTTGTGGCTAGTTTGATCTTGTATCCCTACCACTCAAACTTTCCATATCAGCGATAAGTTGTTTTGCTTTCTTATCATTTATGTATTCACTGGAGTAGCACTTTAAATTTCCTTAAAGAACTTCTCATTTGCATTCACTATTTGGCAAACTATTTGGCACAAGAGACCTGCTTTCAGTCTATCTCAACTTTCAACATGCCTTCCTCACTGAGCTTAATCATTTCTAGCTTTTGATTTAAAGTGAGAGACATGGGACTCTTCCTTTCTCTTGAACACTTAGAGACTATTGTAGGGTTATTATTGGCCTAATTTTAATATTATCTCGTCTTAGGGAATAAGGATTCCTGAAGAAAGGGAGAGAGATGGGGGAATGGCTAGTCAGTGGGGCAGTCGGAATACACACAACATTTATCCTTTAAGTTTGACATCTTATATGGGTGCAGTATGTGGCACCTCAAAACAATTATAATAGTAACATTAAAAATCACTGATTACAGATCATCATAATAAATACAGTAATAATGAAAAAGTATTGCAAGAATTACCAGAGATACAGAAGTAAAATGTGACACAGAGACATAAAGTGAGCACATTCTGTTGGGAAAATGGTGCTGATAGACTCACTCAATGCAGGGTTGCCACAAACCTTCAATTTGTAAAAACTGCAATGTCTGCAAAATGCAAAAAGGTGAAGCACAATAAAACAAAGTAAGCCTGTAGTTAGAAGCATTTCTGTTTCCTTGATTACACCCTGAATAATAAGTAGATAAAAATTAATTACAAATTATATAAGCTTCTATTAAGTTAGATGAATATTCATAATGATATAACAATGATGTTGCCAATGAAATGGGTTATAGCAATTACATATGGATGAATAGATCACATGAACTTTTGAAGTTTCATCTATTCAGGGGAATTGGGATGTATTAGAATGACATGTAGGAAACAAACAGTAATTGCTAATACAAATGAATACTCATTTTAGTATTTTAGCATGAAGATTATTTATGTTTGTGTATTTATAAATCTTTTCTCCTGTCTCCCATTCCATATGTCTTTCTGTATATCTATCAGTCATTATAATTTATTGTTCCTGGAAGTGTCCTATTTCAGTTACTTTGGATTCAAACATTAATAACTATATTTTGATGCACATATTTTAAAAAAGTAGAGAATTAATTGATATTGGTATATTCTCAAAATAAGATAATAAATCATGACTCAAGCAAAAATTTATTTTGACTATAATAAAGCAACAGTCTTATATTGACCAGAAATAAAACTGGTAGAAATCTCAGGCATTAAATGTGGGATAAACTACACTTACTACTATTATAATTCTCTATTATCTTCTACCCCCATTTCTTTGATAATTCAAATTTTAGTCAGTTCCTTCAGCTTTACTTGTATGATCTAAAAGGAACAACAAATTACAAAATATTCAACAACACTATTTAAACTTTTCTCTCTTCGGGAAACAATTGGTCTAGACTAGAATGTTGCCATTACTGCAGTCATAAATTTGCAGTAGTTTTGGATTTGGGCAGATTGAGGTTGGTGTTAGGGGAGGTCTCCATGTTTCTATTTTACTGAGATTTTATAACAAGAACTCTTGTGCAACAATATGTTTAATTCTGCTAAAAACTGTTTAAACAATTTGAATGAAGCTAAATTGGAACACTTAAAATATAATAAAAGTCAGCATCCTGAGAGCTTGTTCTAAGTAATGGAAGAGTACAATTTGATAAGTATTATTTTCCTTACCAATTTTTATTTTTACTTTCCTTTATTCAAAATGTCAGCATGTACAGTTCAGTTGGCATTTGGGATGAAAAGAAATCTTTTTTTTTTCAAATGTGCACAAAGTTGATTATTTCTTTGAATGAAATATCATTTTATCTAAGCAACAGTAACATCTGAAATACCCTTTTTTCCCCATTGAGCTACATCTCTGTTCCAGATTATTAAGTGTAAAACCAGCAATTCAATCATTTTTTATCCTTGATAACATAGTCTTATCTAATATTTTCCTTGTGGATATAATTTGAAAGGAAGAATTTCATTAACATTTAAGCTCAGTGAACACATACAGAAATGCAGTTCACTTTTGATAAATATTCTAATTTTCATAAATGTCCTATCTTATTTTCTCTGTAGATTTCTATCTGTGAGAACATATATTACTGTGTATGTTACAGATTAAAAACACAGTGACATAAATAGTTTTAGGCAGTCCAAATACAACTTTCCTTTTTGGTATTTGCTAATGCAGCTAAATGAATCTAAATGCCATTGATATCTTATGGCTAGCTAAATACATTTTCCAGAACTCTTAAAGATTGAGGGACAATTATTTAAATAAGGCAAAGATGCCTAGCATATGTTTATAAATTGAGAGCCAAACACAAATTGTAGCAATGATCTAAATATTTGTTGATAAAACAAAAACAATTATTGCTTTGAAATAACTTTAAAACGGCCTCATTTCTAAAGGTATGTAATAGAAACATCTTTTGTAAAGGGACAAGAATCTCCACGTAAATGATTTTAAAATTAAAACGCAGTTCATCTCACTTATCACAAAGTTTGAAAGAGTGACAAAAGAGAGAGAGACTATAATTGAATGTCCTTAGTAAATCCCCCTTCAAGAAAAAAATAGAATTTGATATTATTAAAAATAATAAAAAGATAAGTGTCACTATAGAACAATGGAGGGGAGAGGCAACTGATAAAGGAGAAACAGCCTACATAGTATTTGAAAATAATTCAAACAATAGTAATCATTAAAATAGAAATTAAATTCATAAAATACGATTATTGCTTTGTCTCCTGCTAATTACAATTCTTCTTATCGCATTCTTATCATTTATCTATTAATGACTTAGTTTTGTTTAATTAATTATTTAAGACATTTTGCAATAAATATTAATCATTGAAAACCAAAGCTACAGTCTGAAAATAACCATGTCTAACATCTGACTATTTGGTGCCCAGTGCCACTGCACTGTCACAAGCTCCAGCCTTTCCTCTACTCAAGAGTCCCTCATCAGGAATCTTGCATTCACCTTGCCCTTTATTTATTTTACAGTGTATTCCTTAAGAATACATGTGGTATTGTAGTTTCTAACTTTATAAAAAGTGTATAATGCTTCATGCAATGGTTTGTTTCCTGTTGTGATCATAGTATAGCGCTAAGATTCATCTATATTGGGATATTTGTGCAAATATATGTTGTGGGTTTGTTTTGATATAGGATACTCAGACATTCTAGTAAATATCCCAGTTTATTCTTTCACTCTCCAAGGATACATTTGGGCTATCCTGAGGAAAAAAAAAATTTCATCAATCCAGAGAGCAGAGTCTAAAAGCCTAACAATACTCAAGCTAGAAAAAATTTTTTTCAAACTGTTTTGGCACAAGTGTAGCTTAATAATGGAAAATAACCTGTAGATATGTGTTTTTAAAGTAATAAATGTGTATGAAGCTATTGAAAATATACAACACACTAATGTATTGAACACATTTTGGCATCTCTTATTATATCATCTTTAGAAGAGAGCTGATTTTTTTTCATTTATTTCACTGTTCTTTGTTTCTTTTCACTTTCTTTGTTTTCTTAATACTGCAAATTACAAGTGTTTTTCTGTGTGATTTTTAAATGTAAAATAATTGTTGAATTTAGTAAATATAAACAGCAAGGAGAGATTTCCTGAAATCCCAGCACCCATAATAAACAAAACACATTTGGGTGAACAATTTTCATTCATTTCTCTTTAAAATAAAAATGCACGTGCAAACACATATAATTTTATATATACATTGTTATATACCATGTGCTATTTTTTATCGTGATTATCTTTCATTAAATTTATTAATGACATCTGCAGGTTTTATTTCATTTTAAGCCTGGATGATCTTTGGACTGAGAATTATGAGTTTTATAATTTATTCTAAGGAAATGACAGGACAAGTGTGCAAGGTGTGTATTTTAAGCATTATCATTCCTATATTGTTTCTAATATGGAAAACAAAAATCAACCTACATATACAAAACTAGAAAATTGTTTCAAAAATTAAAGCATGATAATTCTATTTAATCTATATTAATCTTCGTTGAACTACATATTATAATAGAGTTTTGGCCACAATATATTATGTTCAAAAATGTTTAATTGCACACCAATATAGATTTTAATTTTAATTCTTCACTTTATATTTTATTATGTTCAGGAAAAAGCTCTAAAAATATATATACATAATACAATTCAAATATATATTAAATGTCATGGTATTTAGTAGTTAATAGGTATAAGCTTTATGTAGGTTTGATGTGCTTTTTACTATATTCTTTAAATTTACTATATTGTTCATATATTATGTACTATCTGAATTTTTCATAATTTATAAATTTAAATTTTGAACATTTAGTTTTTGTTTTTAAAATACACATACGTAATAATAGCCTTTGCTACTTCAATTGTTTAAAACATCTCTTGAAGCTTTGAATCTACTTATCATTTTTGAATCTAGTCACATTCTAGTACTTCCCTGATACATAGCAATTTTTTAACAACAGCAGAACTTTCAGGTTTTTTCATTTAACCTACTACTTTATTTTACATATAATTCAGTTTTAAATTCTATTTTTCTACTTTTATCTACTATTCTGAATTATTCTTTATGGATTGTGGAATGACAAATTTGTGGAAAAAGCAATTCAATAACTTATGTGTAGTAGACTAGAAGTTGAAATGTATTTAGATTCTAAGTAGACTAGAAAAGGTCCTGAAATATTCTGAAACAGATATCCTCTGTATAAAACAGCGTTGTACAGAAAGTTGAAATCCATGGACTTTAAGTTGTACTTCATTAAATTGCAGTAGAATTCCATTCAAAAAATACCCTCAAGCATTTGATTAGTTTCAAATCTAGGAGCGGGGAACTTTAAATATGTATAACAGGTACATAAAAATGGGAATTGATATAATCCTCAAAATGGACTTTTAATATAGATATCATGGTTTTCATTTCTAATATACTAAGTTTTACGTTACATGGGGTTAAACAAACGGTCCAAAATCACACATTTTGCAAGAATTAGAGCTGGGGTTTAGGCATGTATTATTTCGTGTGCATCTGTTGGGCATTACTTCCCTCAGCTGAAATATCAGTACAGTTAGTTGACTATTTCTAAAACAACAGTTTCTTTATTACAAAAGTACATGATATATTACTTGAATAACTATCTATCACTGATTCATAGTATGGAATGAGAAGAGGTGAATGAGCAAACTTTCCACAGGACATTTCAATGTAATTGCTTCTCATGTTTTATTCTGGAAAATATCCAGATGGCTCTACACTTTTACATAAGGCTTCTTTAGATAAAAAGCCATTTAAGGAAACAAATTACAGAAGTGCTGTTATGATAACCAACAAAGAAAAAGCAAATGAATTCTAAATATTTCAACAAAACTAGCATGGAATAGTTTTGCCATTTTTAATATATTCTACCACTTATTAGAAGATAGATCAAACTGTGATCTCAACTGGGACCTGCATCAGTGACTTTTTAAGGAACAAATATATGCTGGGTCTTACAGATTTACAGAAGATTCTGATTTAGTAACTGTGAGGTAGGATCGAGAAATCTAAGTTTTAGTGAGTATCAGTACTTCTGATAATCAAGAAATTTGGGGAAGCACTACAGTGACGTAAGAAAAGAAATGAAAATAAGATGGTATTTGCTAAGTACTAGGCACTTTCCAAATTATAAATAATTTAACCATCATAAAACACTTGTAATTAAAAAATATATTTTAAATGTAGCAAAATGAAATTTTAAAGTAAGTATTTTACTTATGAACACACACTAAATAAGTGAGTTGAGGGAGGAATCATTTTGCCAATAAATCTCACACTTTTTTGATTTCATTATTGTGCATATCTTACACGTTGGGGAATTATTTTAAACATCTATTAGTAACTATTATAATTTCTGAATATTTGGCTATGATGAGAAATTAATTCTCTAACTTGTTTCAACTTTAAATCATAGGGATCTAAGGAAAGTGAAAAGTGCTTCAGTGTAGATGATTTCTTCAGGAGCACCACTTTGAATCAAACCTGAATATACCTTTTAAGTTCAAAACATATTAATACTAAATTTTACTTTGTACAATAAATTTAATGGAAATTTCACTTGTTTGCACATCTAAGGTATTACTACTTTTATCTTCAAATAATAGCAATATGTTTAAACTATTGAAAAATAAAAATATCTGAGTGTAATGGTCTCAGCTGAATTCTGGAGATTAGAAGCTGAATAAACTTTGAGCATTAAAAAAGATAAAATGACTTTTAAGAGGGGCATTGAAATTAAAGAATTTTACATATAAAACCAAAAAAATATAGTATTAACAGTGTATTATGGATTTTGCAGGAAGTATTTTAAAATTTCAAAACGTCAAGGGGACTAAACATGAGGTAAAGGGGCTGTCATAGGTTGTTAAAAATAGCCAGCTAAACTGTCCCATGCAATGGCAATTATAAATCACATGGAGTCTTCAGCTATTAAACAATATTATGTTATGACAAAGCATATCATCGTTTTTCTTTTAAGATCATGAGATGATACACAGATTAAGGCAAAATATCTGAATACTCATGAAACCATGAATGGAATTAATACTTTATTATAAATAGACTAATAAGAAAATGATAGAAATATGTAGCCAATTCCTATAGGTGACATGCATAAAATATTTGCATTTTAAGAGTAAAAGAGAGACAGAGTAGGAAGATGACAGCATAGAAATGCTGTTTAGTAACAAGATTGATATATTTAAAATATATAAAACATACAGCTAAAATACAATAGCCAACAAAATAAGGCCAAAACAATGAGAATAAGGACAACTATAAAAGTGAATGCAAAGTTAATAGTAACACATTAGAAAAAGGAAAGTAAAAGTAACACAAGAAAATTATTGGGTTGAAAAAGTAGCCTAAATATATTAGAAAATATAAGTAATGGAAACAGACATCAGTATGAACACTTGCAAAATTTGCTAAGAATTAAAATAATCAACTGGCTTCTGAGTTTAATTCTCGGTAAACATGTATTACTTGATAACTGGGTGTTTTCCTTATCAGAGATTTTTTTATGATTGCATAAAGAGAAGAAATCCAAAGTATTTAATTTCATCAATATTTTTATTGTTCAAATGATAGCTGAATATATTTAATAAATGAAGCTCTATACTAACTATGAGAGGCACTGAATTACTTTATAGTTTAGTGTTTTATGCTTCTGAAAATGTCTTTATCCCTTGTTCTTGAACACAGTTTTTTTGAATATAGATTTCTATGTTGACAGTTTTTTCAAGAGCATATAAAAAGATATTGCTCCTTAATATACTGACTCCTCTTTTTCCTGTTGAGAGTTACAGAATATTTCCAGAGAAATTCCTCTGATATAATTTTTTTTTTCTCCAGCTATTGGTTCCTATTCACAGTATGTTGTTTCCCTACAGGTTTTCTGGGTTTTAATGTGAGCTACTCATTTTCCCTTGAACTTCAATTGTCGGAATTCTTTAAGGCCTGAATGAACTTGAACTTCTTGAGAGAAAATGTGCATTTATTTCTGCCAATTTTCTAACTACATTATAATCAGAAAATATTTTAAATTACACATGTATTTTGATGTTTTCAAAGAATATATACAGGTTGTATAAATTAACAGTGACAACAAGAGAAAAAAACTCTGAAAACCAATTTGTGAGTACTCAGTTAAAGAAAATCTCCATGCTATGTTATTCTAATGTCACGGCAATCATTTTTGCTCTTTATTTCTCTGTAGCAAAGTTTTTCTTGTTCAGCTTCTTCCTAGGTGTGTGACTGTTTCTTTCTTGGGATGACCTTAGGTTTTATCTCCTATCCCTTATAACTTGTTTGTGAGTAGAAAAATTCAATAGTATTACAGATAAATTTTTCTTGGTAAATCTTCTCCTACCAGAAATATTGCAATCATTTTTGGGGAGTGGGGAGGTATATGCATTGCATATTTTTTTTCACTTGTCGAAAGCTCAGTGTTATTTTCACCAATCAATCAGGAAATGCATTTGTTTTAAGAGAGATTATTATTATCATTGGTATTATTATTATTTAGAAGAAAGAGATTCTCAGACTACTGATCTCTAAAGTGTAGTAGATTGGTTTCACGCATTTGAAGTTCATTTTCAGCTCTAAAACCATATACTATCCTTGTCTAAGCTAAAAAGCTAATACAGAAACATAATCCTCACATTGAACCTGATCACACTGAATGAGTGGTAGGAAGGATAGACTACAAAACAGAAATAATAAAAGGAAAGTGAAGCTGTGAAAATAATTTTGATGGAAAAGAAGGCAGAGTACAGAATGTATAGTTGCATTTAATAAAGCATACGGATAATTTAGACTACAAATAAATATAAATGAGAACAATGAGAATGGAAAATTTTTGGAATACAGCATATGATTTTGGATAAATGATGAAACATTATTTAGTTTCTGCATAAAACAGCCATAGCAAAGCACGTGTATCATATTGAATGTTGTATAAGACCATCATCTATTAAAATACAACATAAATTAACATTTAGAATGAGACAAAAAGTAACTACTCAAAAAAAGACTGATGAAAAAAGGGACAGGGAAATATGTGTTTAATATATTATTTTAAAATACATTGGGGGCAAGTTGGCAAGAGTAATATTGAAGAAATGTTGAGTGATTTGTAGCTACCTGGAAAACTTTCCAGTGCTTTCTTAAGGACATTAGTATTTCTGGGGAAAAGGGATACATGTGAGATAAGCAGCAATATTTGAAATCAAATGTATAAAGGATTTAAAGAAAACTAGCTTAAAGGGTAAATCAAATATATTTGAGAAAAAATAAAAAGCAGCATAAGAAAATAGTTAACTTAGAGCTTGACAGTGTTGCTCTTTTTGAATGCTTATCCTACGTTACAGTATGGACATGCATAAACCTATTTAAGTATTATATCAACCCTTGAAGAAGGTCATACTATCACCACCTTCTTATGAATAGTGAAAGCCAACCTCCATAGATAATTTCTCCATTTGCATTCAATAAGCAGATAATTGACTAAGTATGCTTCAATGGATGAATGGATAATGAAAATATGGTATATATACCCAGTGAAATACCTTTCAGCCTCAAAATGAGGAAAATTCTGTTATTTGTAACATGGATAAACCTGGAGGATATTATGTCAAGTAAAATTTGCCAGGAAGAGAAAGAAAAATAATGAATTATCTCACTTAGGTGCAGAATCTAAAAATCTCATAGAAGCAGAGAGTAGAATGGTGGTTACCAGAGCCTGGGTGGGTGATAGGCAAATTGGGGAGATGTTGGTCAAAGGATACAAAATTTCAATTAGGCAAGAAAAGTAAAACTCCAGAGATTTATTGAACATCATATTGAATATTGTTAACAACAATACATTGTAGATTTAAAAATTGCTAACAGGGTAGATTTGAAGTGTTCCCACCATAAAAATGCTAAGTATATGGTGTAATGAAGATCTGAAAGAGCTTGTAGTCATTTCACAATATATACACATGTCAAAACATATTTTTTACACCATAAACCTATACAATGTTTACTTATCAATTAAAAATAATAAATACAAAAGTAAGATGAGAAAGCCCCTGTTGTGCTGCTTCCAACCAGCAAAGGCTCCTGATCTCCTTCCCCAGCCAGCTGGTGGGGATGCCTGCCTTCTGCTTCCTTCTGAGCTGTACTAAATCTTCTTATGGTTGGGAACTTTCATCTGCTGTGGACAGATGGACTTTAAGTCTTCTAGACTGAGGAAACATTTGAAATGCCATACAAAACCGCATTATTTATATTATCATTTCTATTAGATCTTTATAATGATTCCTTATTGAACTTAAATGACACAGGACTGATTGAAACAGAACATTTAATTGTTTTGCTCGTCTGACTCTCTGAGCCCTAAATAAATATTGTTTTTCAGAGAAAAAAAAAAAGAGGAAATGGTTTAGCTGAGATTTAAATCCAGGCTCCTGATTTCATAATAAGAAAATCTGCCAACATATAAAAAGTTTAATTTATATTAAGTGTGTGTGTGTGTATATATATATATATCTGTGTGTGTGTGTATTTTGATTTGATATGGAAATGTATATTATGTATAAGACAAAAGTCAAGGGGTACAGAACAAGATACACAAATTCTTTTGTCAAATATTTACATACAATGTATTATCTAATGATAATATCAGTGACCATAGCAGAAACGATCAGATTTGCTCTGTAATGTGAGACAAAAAATACTGTGAAATGATCAATATTAATTTGACATATTAACTGAGAATGTGTGTCAATGTAAACTTACTTTATAGTAATCACTTAAGGAAAACTCAACTGGCTACCATTTCTGTGGCTGTGTTGAGTATTATTAACAGTATGGACTCTAAAGGACATCAAATAATAGCTTACTGTTTCACTCTTAGGAAAGCATGACAATTACTTGACTAATTTTTTTTTTTTTTACAGAAAGAACTAAAGTATTAATATGGGTTAAACTACTATACTGTAGACATGAGGGCCAATAAAATTGAAACAATTTACTAGCTATGTGTGAATAGGGATTGATTTTAAATAAAATGTCAATATCTCATAACATTTCTGATATTCCACTTCAAGAGTAAAAATAGGATATAATTGTGAATGAAGTTTTTGTATCCACAATAACAGATTCCTATTGTGATTCATGTGGAATAATATTCTATGAAATATACTTAAAGAGTTATTTTGAAAATGCCACTATACTTTCCCTCTCAAGTGAACATATTCAAAGGCTCAGGAATAATCATAGTTTTTATCTCTTCAAAATAAGTTATTTACTGTTCCATTTTAGCAATCATTCACAGTCTTTTCTATAACAGCAGTCAATGAATTTTCATACCTGTGAATGTATATAAAACAGAGTGGAAGTAAAAAAGCTCTAGTTGAGGTACAAATTAAGCTATGATACTGCCTGTTCCTTCATAATTTTCTTTGTCACCAAATCTTACCATATCATTGTGTAATAGCATGTAATGATCAATTTTATATATCTTCTCTACACCATGTAATTACATATTTCTTTAATTGCTTCTGTAGTATAACACAACTCAGAAACTTTGTTCTCCCTATTTCTTTTTTATTTAATTTTTATCTACTTTTGTGTAATCCAAATCAATCCATTCTACCCACATCTACCCTTATTCCTTCTACAGATTGATATTTTGAATCTCATATCTTTTCTTAAAATATTGTATGAATAAACCTAGTGTCTTAGTCCATTTTTGTGTTGCTATAATACCCAAGGCTGGGTAATTTACTTAAAAAAGAGGATTATTTGGCTCATGGTTCTGCATGCTGTACAAGAAGCATGGCACAAACATGTACTTGTATGAGGGCCTCCAACTGCTTTCACTCATGGCAGAAGGTACAGGGGAGCTGTGTATGGATAAATCACATTGTGAGACAGGAGGCAAGAGAAAGTTAGGGAAATGCCAGCCTCTTTTTAACAACTAGCTCTCCTGTGAACTAACAGAGTGCAAATTCATTCCTTACCATGAGAATGGCACCACGCCATTCCTGAGGGATCTACTCCCATGACACAAGCACCTCCCATTAGGCATCACGTCGAACACTTAGGATAAGTTTTTAACGTGAGATTTGAAGGGGTCACATATCCTAACCATAGCACATAGCAAAGCCATGTTTCCTTTTGTTGGAGTGATAAATTTTCATCTCCGTTCTAAGCATTTCTTTTACGTCAATCTGTATACTTGAAGATGCTCTCTTCTATTCCATGTGGAATTTTCAATACTATTTTTTAAATCAGGTAATTTCTTTGAATAAGAAACCATAAGTTTTGCAGTAAATTTCAAAAATTAGAGTTACATAAAAATTCATACTTAAAATTGCAAATGTTTCAATTATTTTTTAGACCTTGTTTTTTGACATGGACATGAGCAGAAGTTTATGTATCGTGTTATTTCACTTATATGTTTTATTGTAAGATAATCAGATGGCCATGACATGATTTTCAGAAAACGTAGTCCTTATTTCACAATGTTTTTCCTCACTGAGTCTCACTTCTTTGCCTTTTCATTTAATTTAGCATTATGCTTCAATGGTTACATCGAAAAAAATTAATATGAAAACAGAATACACATGGTTATCTGTTATGATTTTATATTTCTGTGTGCATGTTATTTATTTTATTTGAAGTTGAATTACCTGGTTATGTTAAAATTATATTTAAAATTGTTAACATTTTATAGTAGAATGTATGATCCTTGAGCAGAAGGCTAAACATAAACTGTCTTATTAGGATACATAACATCAAGGTGTGGAACAATTTGTTTCAACCAATAATCCTAAAATTGTAAGTTAAAAACTTTAAAAAGAACCTACATACTTATGATATTGTGTACATGAAGCACGATCATTAAAGAGTTTCTAAGTCTCCAGGATAATTTTTAAAAATATTATTTCTGCATATGCAATTTAACAAGGGAGTTCTATAAATGTTTAGAAATGCCAGAGATGCAGTAAAAAAATTTTAATTTCCATTTTTATTCCATCTTTTCTGAAACAGTGTTAAGGAAAGCTGGCCCCAAAATACACTGAGATACAGAAAAAAAAATTCTGACAACAGTGAATCTAATCTCATAATATTATTTGAGAAAGCCTATCTTATCCCTCTATTTTAGCAGTAATATTTATTATGTTGGTTCTTACTGATAAAAAATGCTTTGCCTTTCAGCATTTACAGTCCACTGAAGTCAACAGAAATAGAAAACAGATTTATACTTACTCTTCTTGATAGAAAAATATTGTCTTCAAAACTTCTTTTTTTTTAGATCAAGGTAATACAAAGCATTTATTTTTTATTATACTTTAAGTTTTAGGGTACATGTGCACAACATGCAGGTTAGTTACATATGTATACGTGTGCCATGTTGGTGTGCTGCACCCAGTAACTCGTCATTTAACATTAGGTATATCTCCAAATGCTATCCCTCCCCCGACCCCACAACAGGCCCTGGTGTGTGATGTTCCCCTTCCTGTGTCCATGTGTTCTCATTGTTCAATTCCTACCTATGAGTGAGAACATGCGGTGTTTGGTTTTTTTTAGGATACAATTATTAATTTTTAAACCTTATGTTTAGTTCAAGCGTTAAATACCTTGAGGTATGATGATAGACATAATGTTTTAGAAGGTAAATTGCGTTTGAGACCAGGCTGGCCAACATGGTGAAACCACATCTTTACCAAAAATACAAAAATTAGCCCGGCATGGTGGTGCACGCCTGTAATCCCGGCCACAGGAGAAGCTGAGGCGGGAGAATCGCTTGAACCTGAGAGGCAGAAGTTGCAGTGAGCCAAGTTGGTGCCATTGCACTCCAGCCTGGGTGACAAGAGCAAAACTCCGTCAAAAAAAAAAAAAAAAAGGGTAAAGAATTTACTACTCTTCTGCTGGGTGCAGTGGCTCATGCCTGTAATCTCAGCACTTTAGGAGGCCGAGGCAGGTGGACATGAGGTCAGGAGTTCAAGACCAGCTTGGCCAACATAGTGAAACACTGTCTCTACTAAAATTACAAAAATTAGCTGGGCCTGGGCACACCTGTAATCCTAGCTACTCAGGAGGCTGAGGCAGGAGAATCGCTTAAACTCCGGAGGCTGGAGGTTTCAGTGAGCCGCGATTGCACCACTGCACTCCAGCCTGGGTGACAGAGTGAGACTTCATCTCACAAAAAAAAAAAAAAAAAAAAAAAAAAAAAAAAGGTTTACTACTCCTCATAGCTGTGACCAAACAATACGGACCATATCTATTAAGGATCAGAGATAACAGATTGGGAAAAAGGTGGACCATGAATCAGTTATAAGGCATTGAGTAGTATGCAAGGCCATTCTGTTGTAGAAAACATTAAACTGTAGAACACTTGTAGAATAACAGAAACTCTCTTGGTGCCATCTGACATTTTAAAAAGAAGCCTAAATTGATAGTCCTCTAATCACCTCTGTATCAGATTCCTCTATGTTTAGCACACCTTTCTGCTGTCCTTCGGTGACTAAGACTACTTCTAAATTTACAAAGAAGGCCTAGGACTCCATCTTTAAAATTTGTTTGTACAGTCTATTTTCCATGCATAAGCATAGATTGTTCATTGAATAATTCATTTATTCATTCAGTCATTCACCCATTTATTTATTCATTTGTTCAAAGATTTTAGGACCTATTGTACTTTTACTCATAATCATGTACCAGTGAAAATTAGCGTAAGTTATTCCAGATTTTGAATGAGCTTTTTGCTACATGGCTTAACCATTCTGTGTAATGCATCTGGAATTTAAATACTGCACAAATTGTTCAACTTTAAGTTACTTCAAAATGGTACTTTAATTTCTCAAGTTGCAACATGAGATGACAGGATTATTAGAGTATAATCAGGGAGAAAAGGAAAAATACAGTTATAGCCTTCTGAAAAAATGAAATAATAGTGTGTTTATCCTCTCAACTGAAAGAACAAAAGCAGTGAATAAGGCATATGAAACATACAAGGCTCACAAGACGTTCTCAATCAGAAAGAAAGATGATCCTTGAGTGATAAAAAACAAATGAAGTGAGCCCTTTGATTTCTCCAACTTACTGTCTGAGGAGAGTTTCCAGGTCCTGGTGCAGAGATGCAGGACTTGGAGTCGAGGAGAAGCAACTGAGAGTCTTGGAAGACCAAGGAACTCTAGTTAGCATGATAGAATCCTGGAGAAGAAAAAGCTAGAATTTTTTTTATAACTCAAAGCTTTTGCAGATAGCTCATTTCATGTGTTCAACTGAGTATGGATCAGCACGTATTACTGAGGTAAATGCCTAAGGCTGGGGAAAGAAGCACCCAATACGATTAATGGGAAAAGTATTCTGGGCTTGCCCAGACTGTGGAATGGTACCTATTTGTACCACAAAACTGACAAATCTCAAGATTCACAAGACACTGGGTAAAGTACACAGAAGTGACTTGTCTCAGTGGAGTAGAATAATTAGCCCTAGAAATAGCACTGTTGTCATAATGTATGACATATACTAATAAAGAGATTCAAAGGTATCAATATATTTTCAATTTACTGAGTCCTAGGGAGGGGAGGAAATTTCAAGAATATTTATAGGAACACAAAAAATTTTCATTATAATCATACAATCAACTGACAATTCACACATTAGAATTAGCAGAAAAGAAAATTAAACACTTATAACTGCACTTGAAAGCTAAGCAGAGACTTGTAATATATTTATCAAAAGCAAATTAAACTTCTGGAGATGAAAAGATACTGTGTAAAATGAAAAATACAAAAGATAGGGTTAATTTTATATTAAATACTGCAAAAGAAAAAAATTAATAAACTTGAAGATATAGCATTAGAAATTATCCACAATGAAACATAGGGGCAAAAAAAGGTGCGAGAGAAAGAGGAAATGAAGAAGAAGGAGGAGGAACAGAATAAGAGAAAAAAGAAGCAATACTGAGAAAAGAGACCATCAGTGAATTGTGCAACAGTTTCATGCAGTCTAATACATATGTAATTAGAGTATCTAAAGGAAAAGGTATAAAGGTAGATGGAAAACATATTTTAAGAAATAATGGGCTGGGCACAGTGGCTCACGCTTGTAATACCAGCATTTTAAGAGGCCAAAGTGGGCAGATTGCTTGAGCTCAGGTGTTCAAAATCAGTTTGGGCAACATGGCAAAACCTCATCTTCACAAAAATACAAAAATTAACTAGGCATGTTTGTGGTGGTGCATGCTGTAGTCCTAGCTATTCAGGAGATTGAGATGGTAGGATCACTTGAGCCCAGGGAGGTCAAAGCTGCAGTGAGCTGTGATCATATCACTGCACTCCAGCTTGGGTGACAGAGAGAGACTATGTCGAGAGAGAGAGAGAGAGAGAGACAGAGAGAGAGAGAGACAGAAAACAAACCAAATAATAAACAAAATTTTTTACAAATTAGTAAAAAATATAAGCCCAAAGATTCAAGAAATGCAATGAATTCCAAGCAAAGAAACATTAAGAAAGTATACCAAAGTACCCTATAACCAAATTCGTGAAAACCAGTGATAAGAGGATCCTAAAAACAGATAGAAAAGGTAATTTTTATCCTTGTAAAATTAAAATATCAAAATAATATAGCATTTCCTATTGAGAAAATGTGAGTAAAAAGATAAACAGTTTTAATGAAGAGAAAGAATAACTATCAACTAAAAAGAAAAAAAAAATCAATCCAGAATTCCATACCCAGTAAAAATACGAAAGAATCTATCAAAAACAGACCAGAAAAAAAAAAGTTACATCAATTAGATCTATGAATTTACTAAAAGGAATGAAGGGCACAAGAATTGTAACTGAGTAAATATACATTTTTATTTTTATCTACTTTCTTGAAGGATAGTTGATTGTTCTAACAAAATTAGTGAAATATGGTGAGGTTTTATAACATGCGAAATTAAAATATGTAATAATAAGAGCACAAGTATCTAAAAGAAAGGAATGAGATTATGTTCTTTTAAGGTTATTCTCTGACTATACAGGAAGAGGTATAATATCACTCTTAGGTAGAATGAAATTAGTTAAAGATATACTTAAAAAAACAAAGCAATCATTAGAATGAAAAAAAGATTAATAGCTGATCTAAAAGCACAGAAAACCCATGGTATAATAAAAATAATCAAAATAATGTCATGGAAAGGGGAAAGGGGCAACAAAGAAAACACAAGTTAAATATAATTTGCAAGATAACAGACTGAAAACTAACCATGTGAATGTAAATGTTCCAAACATACTAACTAAAAGACAGAGACTTTAAGAATTGATAAAACACTAAGATTATCAATTTGCTACCTACAACAATTACACATTATAATTAAAGGCACAAATTGTTAAAAGTAAAACAATATAAAATATGTCATGCTAGAAACAGAAAGTTATAGTGATTGTACTAATAGTAAAATATTATTATAGAGCAAGAATATTACTAAGAATAAAGTCATCTTATGATGATAAAGAATAAAGAAATGCATTTCATAATGATGAAAGAGTCAGTTCATTAAGCGGATATGATAATTCTAGATGTTTATGGTCTAATAACAGATAGAGAGCAGATAGACAGACATGACAATCCTAAATATTTATACTGTAATAACGGATAGAATTGCAAGATGAAATGAACAGAGCTCATCTTAATAACTCACTGAAAAAGTAGAAGAAAGATCAGTAAGATATGGAAGATTTAAACAACACTATTACCCATCTTACTTAACCGTATAGAACTTACGGCAAACCACCAGAATACACGTTATTTTGAAGTATACAAAGAACTTGTGCAGCGATAGATTATATCCAAGACCTCAAAACAAATCTCAGTAAATATAGAATGGTTTAAGTCACAAAAAGTATCTTCTCTGACCACGATAAAATTAAATTACGAATAAGTAACAAAATGTATCTAAAAATCCCTACATTTTAGAAATTAAATAACATAGATCAAATCTCAGTAAACCATGGACTAAAAAAGAGATTAAAATAATAGAAAGTATTTTTAATTTTATTAAAATGGAAACACAAAGTTCTAAATTTGTGGGATAACACTATCTGAGTATTGAGAGAAAAATTACTCAATCCCCTTATGTTGAATCTCCAGATATCTTTTTAAAAAATCAATGGAACGACCGGGCCCTGTGGCTCACTCCTGTAATTCCAGCACTCTGGGAGGCCGAGGCGGGTGGATCACGAGGTCAGGAGATCGAAACCATCCTGGCTAACACAGTGAAACCCCGTCTCTACTAAAAAATACAAAAAATTAGCCGGGCGTAGTGGCGGGCGCCTGTAGTCCCAGCTACTCGGGAGGCTAAGGCAGGAGAATGGCGTGAACCTGGGAGGCGGAGCTTACAGTGAGCTGAGATCGCACCACTGCACTCCAGCCAGGGCGACAAAGCGAGACTCTGTCTCAAAAAACAACAACAACAACAACAACAAAAAATCAATGGAACATAGATGGGTCAAAGAAATAATAAATAGTGGAAAGAAAATTACTGAAATAGGAAACAATAGTTATAAAAGTGAGAGAATCAATAAATGAAAAGCTAATTCTTAGAGAAGATCCATAACATTGATAAACTCTAGCCAGATGGATCAGGAAAAAAAAGACAAAAATTACTAATATCAGGAATAAAAAAATTTAACACCACTACAAATTCTACAGATTTTAAATAGAAAAATAAGTATTTCGAACAACTTTATATGAATAAACTCAAGAATATTAATGAAATGAGAAATTTTCTGAAAGACATGAAGTCTAAAAACTTAATGAAAAATGTTGAATATTAAATACATTTAATTTGAAGTTAAAACTTGCCAACAAAGGAAACTTCAGATTCAAAATAGCTTCCCTCTAAGAAATAACAAATTCCAGTTGTTCATAAATTCCTCCAGAAATTTAAAAATATGTGGTAATACTTCCTATAACATTTAATGAGGTGAGATTTACTCCGAAAGCGATCAGAGACATAGCAAGAAAACAACAGCACAATTTACCAAAATGTTCCAGCACCTTCTAATGAAAAGACTATATTTCTTCACAAGATTAGGTTTGCAGTTTTGTCAAATATAAAGAACATGAACATTAGTCTATTTCTAAAATTTCTACTTTGCTCCACCTATTTGCCTCTTTTTTCATCAATACGACACTCTTCAATATTGTATCTTTATACTTAGGTCTTGAATCAGGTAGTGTTAAGTCTCCAACTTTGTTCTTTATCAAAATTATTTTGTCTATCGAGGCCCTTTGTATTTCTACAAACATTTTAGAATTGCTTTGTCAATTTATATTTTAAAAAGCCTACTGGGAGGCCGGGCGCAGTGACTCACACCTGTAATCGCAGCACTTTGGAAGGCCAAGGTGGGCAGATCACCTGAGGTCGGGAATTCAAGACCAGCCTGGCCAACAGGGTGAAACCCCATCTCCACTAAACACACAAAAATTAGCTGGGAGTTGTGGTGCACACCTGTAGTCCCAGCTACTCGAGAGGCTGAGGCAGGTGAATAGCTTGAAACCAGGAGATGGAGGCTGCAGTGAGCAGAAATTGTGCCATTGCTTTCCAGTCTGGGTGACAGAGCAAGACTGCATCTCAAAAAGCAAACAAACGAACAAAAAAGCCTACTGGGATTTGACGGTAATTGCTTTCAGCCTATTAGAATAGCTAAAATTAAAAACATATCTCTCTATATATACGACTATACCAAATGCTAACAAAGATTTGAAGGAAATAGAAATCTCATACACTGCAAGTGAGAATGGAAAAAGTACATCAACTTAGGAGAACATTTTATTAGTTTCTTAAAAGCTAAGGATACACCTTTCATTTACCCAGGCATTCCATTCCTAAGTATTTTTTCCAAGGAAAACTAAAATGAAAATACACTTTCATAGAAAGCCTGTTTAAGGATGTTTATAGCAAATGCCCATCCATAGGTGAATGAGTAAACTAATTGTGGCATATCCATATAGTGGGAATCTACTCAACATTGATAAGGAATGAACTACTAATATACACCAATAACATGGCTGAATGTCAACATAATATGCTGCCTGAAAAAATGCCAGGTGAAAAATAGTACATACTGTATGTTTCTATTTAGATAAAGTGTTAGAAAATCCAGACTAATCTATAATGGTAGTAAAAAAAAATTAAATGTTTTCCTAGGAATAGGTAGGGCAGGGACAGGTAGATGTGGGAAGGAGTTATTACAAAGAGGTACAGAAATCTTGGTTGAAAAAGTTTCTAAGAAACATTTGGACAGGGTGTAGTGGCTTACGACTGTAATCCCAGAACTTTGAGAGGCCAAGGTGGGAGAATTACTTGAGGCCAGGAGTTCAAACCCAGCCTGCACAAACTAGAGAGACCATGAGATCCTGTCTCTACAAAAACAAACAAACAAGCAACAGCCTGCCCTGGTTGCACATTGCATGTGACTATAATCCCAGCTACTCCAGAGGCTGAGACAGAAGGATTCCTAGAGCCCAAGAGTTAGAGGTTACAGTGAGCAGTGAGCTATGATCTCACCACTGCATTCCAACCTGGGAAACAGAGTGAGACCCTGTCTCAAGAAAAAAAAAGGAAGAAAGGAAAGACACATTTGAGCTAAATACCTAAGACTAGAAAGAGGAGGTTCATTCTGACTGAGCATGACATCAGTGAAAAACTAAGATGGTGGATAGAGAGGAAGGAAATAACATTTTATGTGAGAAATGCATGCTTTAGGATTCATACAGATACAAGGTTCATTTTCTCTGCACAAGGATAGATATACAGATATACATGTTTATTAGCTAAAAATATTAATGCTGTTTCCAATTAATGTAATTCCTCAAGTTGATTATTTTTGGACATACATGATGTTCGAGATTTATTTTAGCCTTTACATTTATTAACGTTTTGTTTGTTCACTTTTGCTATTTGGATGATTTCCATCTTCGCCAATTACGCATAACTTGAATTTTGTCTAGAAGGCAATCAGTAGAACATAAAAGTCTAAAGATAGAGACTGGCATGATTAGGTTTGATGTTTCTATATCACCACAGTGAAGAATAGATTCTAGGAAACAAAGTATGAATTAGGGAAATTAGCCAGAAGATTGTTGCTATAATATAGATGAGAGATGATGAATACATTGACAGAGCATATTGGAAAGATATTGACAAATTCAAAATATTTTTTAAAAAGAATCTATGTGACCACTGCAAAAAAGGAAAATAAGAGTGAAATCCATGATCCTGGCTTGGGGAAACTTTTAGCCCCTAGACAGTGCCTGTCGCAGATGGTCAATAAATATTGAAAGAGTTGATGTAAACATTCACTTAAGTGGTGAACCAAGGAAGAGCAGCAAGCATTGTCATGAAGGTGTGATCAATTTCATTGTAGATTCAGTAAGCTTGTGATATACAAAGGACCTCTGCAGTGTGATCTTCATTTAGAAATTTAGGTCTATGTCTTAGGGATGAGCATTTTTTTCCTGGAGTTTATATTTTTTGGAATTAATTATCATATGGATAATATCATATATTATCATAAAATTTCATTCAAGGAAAAATCCAACTGCTGTATAAGAATGTGTAGAATGAAACAAAATGAGTTGAGGAAAAAGCAATATGGAACAACATTTTAAATTGTAGAAAGAAAAAAGAAAGCTGTAAGAAATTCACACTTTAATAATACTTACATAACTTCAGAAATACCACCTTCCTTTATTTTTCCCTACTTCTATCCCTCCTTCCCCCTTGTATTCTTTGCTCTTTTTCTTTCCTTTTTTCATTTTTCCATAATTCAAGATGTATTTTTAGATAAAATGTTAGATACTGTGGGGGGGATCTACATATTAATTAATTAATTGATGCCCCTTTTTACATACTTACCTTTTAGAAAATATTTGTTACTTACCTTTCATCCTCCAGACTCCCTTATAGAAACTATAGATAGGGCATTAAATAGCACAAACATCCTCATGCTCTTGTAGAGCTTCCTGTGTGAGAAATATGAAAATAAACAAGTAAAAAATAACTAAAAGAGATATGAATCGATTGTGTATATATATACACACACACACGTACATATGTATGTACTAGGTTGGTGCAAAAGGAATTGTGGTTTTTGCATTGTTGGGATTTGCTGTTTGATACTAGAATACATGCTTAAATAAATGTGGCTATGTTATACATCATTTTAATGGACATTTCACGCATTATCTTTTTCTGCAAATGACTTATTACTTGTTATTTATTTTATATTTATTTTAGACTATGGAGATGATGTTAGACAAAAAGCAAATTTGAGTGATTTTCTTATTCTAGTTCAAAATGGGACATAAAGCAGTAGAAACAATTTTCAACATCAACAATGAATGCATTTGGCCCAGGAACTGCTAACAAACATACAGTGCAGTCGTAGCTTAAGAAGTTTGCAAAGGAGACGAGAGCCTTGAAGACGAGGAGTGTAGTGGCTGGCCATCAGAAGTTGACAACGACCAACTGAGAGCAATCATCTAAGCTGATCCTCTTACAACTACACGAGAAGTTGCCAAAATAACTCAATGTCAGCTATTTTATGGTCGTTGGGCATTTGAAGCAAATTGGAAAGATGAAAAAGCTCAATACATGGGTGCCTCAAGAGATGACCAAAAATTTAAAAAATAATAGTTTTGAAGTGTTGTCTTCTCTTATTCTACTCAATAACAACGAACCATTTCTCAATTGGATTGTGACATGCAATGAAAAGAGGATTTCATATGACAACCGGCTATGACCAGCTTAGTGTTTAGATCAAGAAAAAGCTCCAAAGCATTTCTCAAAGCCAAACTTTCACCAAATAAAGGTCATGGTCACTGTTTGATGGTCTGCTGCCAGTCTGATCCACTATAGCTTTCTGAATCCTGGTGAAACTAATACATCTGAGGAGTATACTTAGTAAATCGATGAGATGCCACTAAAACTGCAACGTTTGCATCTGACATTGGTCAACAGAAAAGGCCCAATTCTTCTCCTCGATGACACCTGGCTACGCATCCCACAACCAATGCTTCAAAAGTTGGACGAATTGGGCTACGAAGTTTTGCCTCATTCCCTGACCTCTCGCCAACTGACTGCCACTTCTTCAAACATTTTGACAACTTTCTGCAGGGAAAACACTTCCATCCCCAGCAGGTTGCAGAAAATACCTTCCAAATGTTCATAGAATCCCAAAGCACGGATTTTTACACTACAGAAATAAACATATTTCTCATTGGAGAAATATATATATATAGAGAGAGAAAGAGAGATATCCTCTATTGCTATGGCCTTTAAAAAAAGATAAAAAATTAAAGTATCATATGTTTTTATCTAAATAGCATGCAGTTTAATGTACAATATGCCACTAATTTTTTGAAGAAAAATCAAAATAAAGGTACATTTCCATTTAAATACATCTTTGTTTTGTATTAATGAAGAGATACTAAAAACATACCCTAAAATCAAGAAAATAAAATATTTCTTGAGACTTTATAGAATTATCAGTATTGATAAATGGGTCGTGTCTTCACTCTTACCCTTCACATGCTTGTCGTTTTATTTAAAGATTGATATTACAGGTCATTGTCAAGCATTAAATTTTTCTCTAAGATTATATATGTAATATTTCTCTCTAAATATAAGATATGTATCTTGAAAATGTGTGAACAGCTGAATAGTCTAGTATCTGTTAATAAGAATTATTGTTTGTCAAAAGTATGCTAACATTATCTAAAAACATATTAAAATCTCAAAAAATAGAAGATAACATGTGCTGACTGCTAATTTTAATGAAAACACCTCTGGGAACTTTATGTTATCCATTTAATGCTAATTAAATATTATAAAAGTGTGAATGAGACTTGTTACACAACTTGCTTAAATAAAAATATCTTAAATGCACGAACAGGAATTCAAACGTGAGTGAGCCTGATCTAAAGTATAACACAATATTATCTTCATAAAGCAAATCACTTAAAATAGAAATAGCTACATTTTGTAGAGCTATAGACGGTTGTGGAGTTATAGACTTCCTATTTTTCGTCCCCTAGACCCAGATTGTAAAAGCTCATGTGATTGGGTCAATCCTGTCTGAATAATGTCTCCTTTGATTAACCTAAATTCAATGAATTAGTAGCCGTACTTACTTCTGTAAAATTCCTTTTGCCATCACAAGTCACTGTAGTTGTATATCTTATCCATATTCAAGGGGAATATGAAGATCACTGGAGTCATGTTAGTATTCTGGCTCTAATAACTTCATTTTCTTTCTGAGCTGAAGTTTAAATTATAGATTTTTGCATTTCATATCTATTTGAAAAGTATCACAACATAATAATTTTTGTTATTTTATTATCCTACTGTCCTTTTCACCATTCCCTTTTGGTTGAAAATAGAGGCTATATGCTTAGGATAATCATCTGGACAGGAGAGTGACACAAGTTCCATGACATTTCAAGAAAGTCAGTTCTGTCAGGGATTATGGATGACACAAATGTCAAATGTTCACAAGGAGATTAGAAAGGAATTCTCTAGGACAGAATTTATTTATTTTCAAACGGATTTATCAAGTTTCTCTCGATTGGCTAATTCTGGTATTGTTTGAAAATAAGCCAGAATGAAATGAGGTTTTAAGAGTTGCATAGGTGTGAGGTTCCTCTTGAAAGAGATATGAGCCAGCCACAATAAGCAGTTTTGAATAAATCTTCTGGTGGTACATTTTTTATATCACTTGTATGTGACCGCTTAGCAACCTAAAATTTATAAAATCTCTAAAGTTGCAAAAAAACTGGATTGATATATGTTTTTCTCTAGAATTCCTTAGGAAGTCAGAAATCTACTCAAGGTAAAAAATGGAAATCCTGACCACACTATCAAAACATTTTCATATACTTTCAAGTAGTACTTTCTTCATACTAAAATAATTTTTTCTGTCCTTAAGCCAACAGGACCATTCTTTTTCTGTCTTTAAGACATCAAGGACTTAGAAAAAAACCTATTAATAATAACTTCCAGTGCCTTGGTTTACTCAGTGTAGAATTAGAGAAGAGAATGGGTAAAGGTACTTAGAAAATACATATAAGAATCTAGAAGAGTGTAGCTAAAGGAAACGAGAAATTTGAGAAAATTTGTATGTTTTTATGTATATCTTCAATTATTGGTTGACTATCAAATGAAGAAGTTAAGAACAAGACAGGTATATGTTCTACCCTCAACTATCATAAAAGAAAGAAAATGAGTCAACAGTAATGCAAAGTTTAAAAAAATAAAAAACCTTTCCTATAGCCATATAAACAATAGTCTTAATGTTAATCTCAAGTAGTAAGAAGCCTCAGTAGCCTACCCATTAAGTTGGGTAAAATGATCATGGCATGAGTTAATGAATTTATACTACTGCAATTTGTATTCCTCTCCTGAAATTTATACTATAATTAGACCAATTTTCAAATTCCCCACATATTTAAATATATAGAAACTCATTATCCATATTGCCTGACTTGATATACAATAATTTTTCCCAATTAGATATTTAAAATTGTTGTTTTCAAAGCATGCATGAGTCATTTAAAATATACACTCATTATTTATTCATTAAAGCTATCAAATTTCCTTCTGGTCCTTGCTTTGAATACAACCTGCTTTTACGCTTCTGGCTGGCAAAACCAAAATTGGTGCAGGATTTTTCAATAAAGCAAAGACAGAGGGAATCAGATGCTTATCCATAAAACAACCAGGAAAAACAAGCCGCATATGCAGAAATACATTGCAGAGTCAATTTTCAGTCAAGCAGAACTGAGACAAAGCAGCCAGGTATGGCAGAGATCCCACTGAGGTGGTCCTATTTTAAGCAGAGCCCGGAGCTTGTGAATAGAGTCCATTATTTCTTCCTGTTTTAATTCAATAGAAAGTGAACAAAGCAGATTCCAATTCCATCAGCAAATTAGGTAGAGCTGAACAGAATGGATTTTGTACTGGCAACATAGGAGAGAGCAGGCAAATGGAATCTAGGAGAAAGTGATAGAAAACAAGAGATCCAAATTACTTTAAATTTTATTTTATTTTCCCATTTGATTAAAATAGATTTCAAAGTATTTCAAAGCGTCCAATTTAGACATTCTAAGATCATTTTGAAATTCGGCAGAAGCATGCAGGCTAGCAGTTCAAACTGCAAATCCAACCAGGAACAATAAAAGATTTTATAAAACATGTAGGTTGTCTAAATTCTAGCTCCTAGTATATTGCATAGCTGCCTAAACTATGTGTTAAAAATATTTCCATTTTCTAAATTCTATTTTACTTTACAAATAGTTTTTACAGAGTTTTTAAAACAAATTAAATTATTTCCCAAATTTGTGTGTGTGTGTGTGTGTGTGTGTGTGTATGTGTGATGTGGCTTTTGTTCTTTGGAATTTTTTGGTGTTTCTCTGTAGTTACATCTTGAAATATTTTCCAAACCTAACATTATCATGTAAATATAGCTTTTAAAATTTAGTCTAATTACAACCCCATTTTAAAAAATTATATCATTTAGACTTAAGAAAGGTTGAATATATTATACCCTTAAAAGTGAGGATTGAGTGGTGAGATGACACAGGTTCATTGGGTGGCATAGAAAGACCTAAAGCTTTTAGCATGAAGGGTTGTTGAATTTTGTCAAAGGCTTAAACTCTCAATAAATTAGGTATTGATGGGACGTATTTCAAAATAATAAGAGCTATCTATGACAAACCCACAGCCAATATCATACTGAATGGGCAAAAACTGGAAGCATTCCCTTTGAAAACTGGCACAAGACAGGGATGCCCTCTCTCACCGCTCCTATTCAACATAGTGTTGGAAGTTCTGGCCAGGGCAATCAGGCAGGAGAAGGAAATAAAGGGTATTCAATTAGGAAAAGAGGAAGTCAAATTGTCCCTGTTTGCAGACGACATGATTGTTTATCTAGAAAACCCCATCGTCTCAGCCCAAAATCTCCTTAAGCTGATAAGCAACTTCAGCAAAGTCTCAGGATGCAAAATCAATGTACAAAAATCACAAGCATTCTTATACACCAACAACAGACAAATAGAGAGCCAAATCATGAGTGAACTCCCATTCACAATTGCTTCAAAGAGAATAAAATACCTAAGAATCCAACTTACAAGGGATGTGAAGGACCTGTTCAAGGAGAACTACAAACCACTGCTCAAGGAAATAAAAGAGGACACAAACAAATGGAAGAACATTCCATGCTCATGGGTAGGAAGAATCAATATCGTGAAAATGGTCATACTGCCCAAGGTAATTTACAGATTCAATGCCATCCCCATCAAGCTACCAATGACTTTCTTCACAGAATTGGAAAAAACTACTTTAAAGTTCATATGGAACCAAAAAAGAGCCCGCATCGCCAAGTCAATCCTAAGCCAAAAGAACAAAGCTGGAGGCATCACACTACCTGACTTCAAACTATACTACAAGGCTACAGTAACCAAAACAGCATGGTACTGGTACCAAAACAGAGATATAGATCAATGGAACAGAACAGAGCCCTCAGAAATAATGCCGCATATCTACAACTATCTGATCTTTGACAAACCTGAGAAAAACAAGCAATGGGGAAAGGATTCCCTATTTAATAAATGGTGCTGGGAAAACTGGCTAGCCATATGTAGAAAGCTGAAACTGGATCCCTTCCTTACACCTTATACAAAAATCAATTCAAGATGGATTAAAGATTTAAACTTTAGACCTAAAACCATAAAAACCCTAGAAGAAAACCTAGGCATTACCATTCAGGACATAGGCGTGGGCAAGGACTTCATGTCCAAAACACCAAAAGCAATGGCAACAAAAGCCAAAATTGACAAATGGGATCTAATTAAAGTAAAGAGCTTCTGCACAGCAAAAGAAACTACCATCAGAGTGAACAGGCAACCTACAACATGGGAGAAAATTTTTGCAACCTACTCATCTGACAAAGGGCTAATATCCAGAATCTACAATGAACTCAAACAAATTTACAAGAAAAAAACAAACAACCCCATCAAAAAGTGGGCGAAGGACATGAACAGACACTTCTCAAAAGAAGACATTTATGCAGCCAAAAAACACATGAAAAAATGCTCATCATCACTGGCCATCAGAGAAATGCAAATCAAAACCACTATGAGATATCATCTCACACCAGTTAGAATGGCAATCATTCAAAAGTCAGGAAACAACAGGTGCTGGAGAGGATGTGGAGAAATAGGAACACTTTTACACTGTTGGTGGGACTGTAAACTAGTTCAACCATTGTGGAAGTCAGTGTGGCGATTCCTCAGGGATCTAGAACTACAAATACCATTTGACCCAGCCATCCCAATACTGGGTATATACCCAAATGACTATAAATCATGCTGCTATAAAGACACATGCACACGTATGTTTATTGCGGCATTATTCACAATAGCAAAGACTTGGAACCAACCCAAATGTCCAACAATGATAGACTGGATTAAGAAAATGTGGCACATGTACACCATGGAATACTATGCAGCCATAAAAAATGATGAGTTCCTGTCCTTTGTAGGGACATGGATGAAATTGGAAACCATCATTCTCAGTAAACTATCGCAAGAACAAAAAACCAAACACTGCATATTCTCACTCATAGGTGGGAATTGCACAATGAGATCACATGGACACAGGAAGGGGAATATCACACTCTGGGGACTGTGGTGGGGTCGGGGGAGGGGGGAGGGATAGCATTGGGAGATATACCTAATGCTAGATGACACGTTAGTGGGTGCAGCGCACCAGCATGGCACATGTATACATATGTAACTAACCTGCACAATGTGCACATGTACCCTAAAACTTAAAGTATAATTAAAAAAAAAAACATTAAAAAAAAAAAAAGAATGAATACAAAAAAAAAAAAAAAAAAGAAAAACCTAAAGCTTAGGCATCATCTGAAATAACACAGCACAAAGGCACCTTTAACCTAACTCTGTGTAGCACAAGCCATAAGCACTGGTTCTGGTCAGTGACCCACACATTCATTCCTTTTTCCTCCCTTACTCCTTACCTTTTTGCCAAAAACTGTAAGAGCTTGCCTTAGTCTTATGAATTAGAACATACTCATAAATTTAGACATAGATATACAAACAGATAAAAACAAAACAAAACACAGGTAAAGAGTATTAATTTTATTATATTTTATTATTGACACCCTGGGAAATAATAAAATAAAAAACTAATGGCTGAATAATTGCTGGCCAAACATTCAAGGGAATAATAAAAGTAGGGTATCCTGGTGAAGTCAGTAGCTAGGTTATTGAATTTGGAATCAGTTTTAAATATTGCTTCATTTGCTTGTAATGCCACTGCACACTAGATGCCCTTGAAGGAATAACAGACAAACATACAATGTGCTTCATATGCTACCAAAGGAGATAAAGCTGATGAATAATGAGGGATTCAAAAAAGACCATGTTTTGGAAAGGGTTCTTAGAGAATACCTCACTAAAAACATGGCATTTGGTCAGAGAGCCGTTGAAACATGAAACAAGAAAGTCTTGTCAATGTCTGGAAGGAAGGAATCATAGAAAACAAAAGGGCAAGTTCAATGACTCTGACAGATAACAAGCTCGGTATAATTGCAGAATATCTAGAAAATTGTTAGTGTTGAGGATGGACACATAAGAAAAATAATAGTACAAGATTTGGTAAAGGTAGATAGAAAATATAAAATATATTTTATATTAATAAATATTCTTAGCACCATCATTTCTATTTAAATCAAAAGCTCTCAACATTGGGAAAATCATGGGTCACATAAATGTTGGAAAATATAACTTTGCCTGTCAGGGTACATTTCGTTATGGAAATTATAAATATATCTCCTGAATTCAATGTTCATAACTGAAAAATGTTTGGAAACTCAGATCAGATTTTCTATCTCTGTTTCCACATTTTAAAAATTATCCCTCCAACAATGTCCTTTTGTTTTTCTTGTAAACTTTTCTTGTTTGTAAGATAACTGACTTTTTCTATAACTTCTTTGGACCTCAAACATATTTGTAAGATTTTACGTGATATTAATAAAATTTGTTTCAGTGATAGCATTATGGAAGGAAAGAAATATCTGAAAATGTCTTTAATTCAATTTATTTATTTTTACTTTTAATTATACTAATATATATTGGGAATTTAAATATTTTTTAAAAATACAAAATTACAACACTGAAGAATAGTACATAGAACTTCTATTTATCCTTTACACAGCTTACCTAGTTGTTAACACTTTATTATATTTTCTTTGTCATTTTCTCTATATATGTATGTAGGTATATTTGTATGTGTATATATGTTATGTTATGTTATGACCCATTTGAGAGTAACTGGCAGACATGAGGCCTCTTTACCATTAAATATTTCTGTGCTTATTTCCTATAACAATGGCATTATTTGCATAAATACATTGCAGTTATCCATTGTACACCGTTAATTATTAAGAAAAAAGGGCAGTGATTTTAAAGATTGTCTCTCAAGTAGAGTCACTATACTATTCCCTCATTAATTGATTCAATTAATACATTTTTGGCAAGAATTTCACATAAGTGATGTTCAATTTCTCTCAGAATCATCAAGAATCACACAATTTTGAATTGTCACACTATTAGTAACGCTAATTTTGGTCATTTGCTTAAAGTTGTGTAGCTAGATTTTTCCACCGTAGTTTACTTTCATTTTCTTTTGCATTAGTGAGAGATATTTTGAAATTGAGATGAGATGGTTCCCTTGACCCTTTTGCAGGTGGAAACTGTGCACTGGCTCTGGACCCAGCCAGCCAATTCGGCACTGGCAGGAATAAACCTCACTTACTTGTACCCGCTGGGCTCAACCCCTCCCAGGAGGGAGCACAGACGTGAGCGGGTGCCGGGGCGGGGTGAGCGCTTTTGGGCTCCAGCCCCACAGCAGTGTCTAGGGATGTGTTACAATTAATGCTCTTTTAGCTTTGCCATCCACGGATGGCTTAGGTGTTAAGCAGCTCAGTGAAGAGTCAGTGTGACAGCCTTTTTGGGTTCCTACACCCAGTCATCCCGAATTCTTGTCCAGCAACTGGGAAGAATCAGGTTACATGAATGATTTGAAAGGTGATGAATGTGGAGGATATTATTAAGTGGTGGAAGTGACTCTCAGTGGAAGGGGAGCTGGAAAGGGAATGATGTTGGAAGAAGGTGATCTTTCCCTGAAGCCCGAACATAGTCTCTGATGTCCAGCTGCCTCTTCTCCTCTCGATATTGAAACCCTTCTTCTTTTCTCTCCTTCTCTGCTGCACTGCTCTGCTGCTCTGCCAGTGGAGCTTGGGGTTTTTATGGGCACAGAGTAGGGGATGTGGGGGAGTTGGGGTTTTTATGGGCACAGGGTAGGGGGTGTGGCGGGTTAAAAGGCAACATTCAGGCAGGAAAACAGGGATGTGAAGTTCTCATTTAGGGCTTCGGATCCAGGCTTGAGGGTGAAACTCTTGCCAGGGACCCCGCCCTTTCTACCTGGCATTTCCCTGCCTCCTGTCCATAACAAAATGATATAAATATTAATATACTGACTTCCTCAAACTTCCACTCATTCATTTTAGTATTCACTGATGCTTGCAGGAACTAAGTATTTGTACTGTGGTAAATTTTTTTAACTTTTATTTTAGGTTCAGGGGCACATGTGCATGTTTGTTATACAGGTAAACTTGTGTCACAGTGGTTTGTTGTACATGCTATTTCATTGCCCAGGTACTAACTCTAGTACCCTATAGTTATTGTTTCTGATCCTCTCCTTTCTCCCATGCTCCACCCTCAAGTAGGCCCCAGTGTCTGTTGTTCCCTTCCTTCTGTTCATGAGTTCTCATCATTTAGCTCCCACTTGTAAGTAAGAACCTGCGATATTTGGGTCTCTATTTCTGTGTTAGTTTGCTAAGGATAATGGCCTCAAGTTCCATCCATGTTCTCACAAAATACATGATCTCATTTTTTATGGATGCATAGTATTCCATGGTGTATATATATCACATTTTCTCTATCCAGTCTGTCACCGATGGGCATTTAGGTTGATTTCATGTCTTTGTTATTGTGAATTGTGCTGCAATGAATATTCACATGTATGTTTCTTTATGGTAGAATGATGTATATTTATCAGGGTATATTCCCAGTAATGGAATTGCTGTGTTGAGTGGTAGTTTTATTTTCAGCTTTTTGAAGAATTACCACACTGTTTTCCACAGCTGGTGAACAAACTTACACACGCAGTAACATGTTCCCTTTTCTCCACAACCTCAACAGCATCTGTTATTTTTTGAATCTTTAATAATAGCTATTCTGACTGGTAGTGGATAGTATCTCATTGTGATTTTGATTTTCATTTCTCTAATGATAAGTTACATTGAGCTTTTCATCATATGCTTGTTGGCTACATGTATATCTTTTTATTGAATAGTGCCTGTTTATATCTTTTGCCCACTGTTTAATGGGGTTGTTTTTCTTTTTCTTATAAATTTAAGTCACTTATAGATGCTAGATATAGAATGTTTTCAGATACATAGTTTGCAAATATTTTCTCCCATTCTGTAGGTTGTCTGTTTACTCTGTTGACAGTATTTTGCTGCACAGAAGCTCTTAAATTTAATTAAATCCCATTTGTAAATTTTTGCTTTTGTTGCAAGTACTTTTTGCATCTTCATCATGAAAACTAAAAAGGAATTAAAAACTTAAATTTAAATTCCTAAACTATAAAAACCCTGGAAGACAACCTAGGTGATTTTTAAAAAATTACTCATATTATCTTCTATATTTACTAGTTGCCCTTCTACTGTAAGGAAGAACTTTTTCTTTCCTCTTGTTAATTAATTCATTCATAGTAGTGTGAAATCAAGAATTCCTATCATAATAGATTACATGCCATTATCATGATATATTTTAATGCTAAATCACCATAGATTTGGTCAATGGGAGATCCTTCAAGCTATCTCCTGTGTCTCTCTTACATACCCATATGAGTCTTGAACATTTTCTTACTTTTTAGCATAGTCTATTACAGGCATTTCCTTACTTTAGGCACAAAATATTGCAGCTTCATCTTTGTTTTCTCTGTCCCATTCCTTGAGGAGCCCAGTTTTTGTTTGTTTTTTTTTAGTGGAAATGAAACCAACCCAATAATCCTATAGATAGTTTTTTTGACAAACATAGAAATCGACACTTCTGGTCTTAAAGCTTGAGGGTTACATTGGTTTTATCTCAGTCCCTTCCATAGGAAATCACCTTCAGTTCTCTCAAAAAGCATCAAAGAATTGAAACTTATCCGATCACCACATTCGGACGATGAGATGCAGGACCCCTCATTAATCATGATTGCTTCCTTGCCCCTCCCTAGTTTCTATTTTCATACACATTATTACATTTCTTCTCTGCTATGTAAACCTCTATTTTTATTTGTTCAGGTAGATGGATTTGAGATTGAGTTCCCATCTCCTTGGCTGCAACACCTGATTAAAGCCTTCTGTCTCAGCAATACTCATTGTTTCAGTCATTGTCTTTCTGTGTGGCAATTCTGTAGTGGCGAGTAGTGGACCTAGACCACACCCCTGGTGTTTTGGTAACAGAAATGTTAACTCGGATTAGATATTGCCCTGAGGTATTGCCATTGCTCCTAAGGTTTCATTGTTTCTGAGCCTTCTTATTAGACAGAGCTAAGGAAAAACTTACATATCCATCCATCCATACATACACACATTTGTATATCTGTATCTTCATGCCCAACTATCTACCCACCCAGCTACTTACCTATCCATCTAGCTTATAAGCAATATATTTAACACCCCAGAGTTCATTCTATTTTTCTACTTTACCATATGTGTAACTTTCTTCTCTGTTTATTGAAAACCTGACTCCCATTATTCTCATTATACTTTTTTTAAAAGCTGCAAAAAAACTTTCCTTAATATTTCTTTATAGCTTTCCTTTTTCTTTTAAGAATATACAACCAAACATTTCCATTCAAGATATTTGGACTAGTTTTTCTTCCTTCTTCTTTTGGTATGCATGTGTTAATCTTTTCAAATAATATTTAAAAATGGTATTTATTTTTTTCTGCTTGTATCAAATTTAGGATTTTCTCCATTTTTATTGATTTTTCAGGTATTATAGTAAAAGTCAAAATTATCCAAAAAAAGACACAGATCATGCTTGTGTCTATAACGAAGTAACAGGAACAAAATTTATCTTCATTTGCTAAGCAACAAGAATCCTGGTCAAAATACATGAAAGAACAGTTTTTGGACATTAGAAAATAGAAAGTGCAGGACAGTGACATCTGAGAAAAAGGAGATAGATGAGGTGATCCTTATGCTATCTTCCAGGATACAATGCAGACTGAGTCTAGTAGTTAGACTGAGTTAAGGAGATGTAACTGGGTGTTTGAGAATACTGTCAGCTAGAATATGTGGGACAAAATAACAAAGAGAAAACTTCCCAGATAAGTCATATTTTCCTGCTTCCTGCTTCCTGATTTTATCTAGTCGGGTGCTCAAAATACTGCATTTCTATACATATACACATATAGGTTTTGTTCTGAGAAGCAGTTAAATTACTTGAAAATAGGTATATCTTTCAGGTCTTACTTTTGAGATTTGTTAAGCAGGACCAGTCTATGACCAATTATTCTCTATTTCTGAGGAAAGTCCTTTTTGAATACTTTACCACTAGAAAATTGATCATTGAAACATATGGCTGGTGAGATAGGTAATTTTCAAGGTCCTCTGTGAGCAATGGATATTGTTACTTCTAATCTTTTTAATGGCTCTTTCTTCAGCCTCCAATGGTTTCCTTACATGCATGTGCTGATCATCAGTTAACTAAATACAAAAGTGGGACCCTATGCAGACCTCTGAGGTTCATTCTCTGAATAAGCTCTGTCTCTGGTACTCTTGTCCCAATAATTTGGGCTCCCTTGTTTCTCTGGATTCCCAGCTCTGTTCTCCCACATTCGCTAGGCTTCAGTTGGGCTCCCCTACCCTGCACCATTACTGGACACTCTATAAAGTGGGTCTATTCCAGTGTTCTCTTCATTTGTTCTCCATCACACAGGTATCACTGTCTTTTGTTGCCTAATGTGCAGTGTCTTGCTTTCTGTTGCGTTTTGTTTGCTTTTTGGTTGTTTTGGAAGGAAGAGTGCATCCAGTCCTTTTTAGTTCACCAGCTTATGTGCCATCTGGCATCATCTGCCTCAAGTAATCCAATGTTAGGATCTGGTTTCTCCCTGAAATCTCCAGTTTCCGCATTTCAGGTTAGTTGTTTTTCCTGTGATCTCCGATTTCTGATTGGTACTGGAAAGTCATTAAACTGAAATTTTCCCAGTGGGGAAAACTCTTCCTAGCTTTCTACATTTAATAATTGAAAACAGAAATCTCTAATCATTTTTTTTCTTAGATAGGAATATCAAAACAACTGTTAAATGAAAAAAAATAGTGATTTCTTTAAAAAGATAACAGTCTTTCTCTCTGTTCTCCTGGAGAAAAACAAGGTATCTAACACTGGCTAAATCCATCCTCTTATTCTCACATCTTGGAAAAGTACTGTAGAGCTAATAGAAATTCAAAAAAAGTTAGTTATGCCAGTAAGTCATGCAAAGTGCTTAATTTGTTCCAATTGCAAATAACTCAGAGTGTGACAGCATTTCCACAGGTATCATGTCAGCCCAAGATAAAGATATTTGCCTTTTAATTTAATGGGCTGCTGGAGTTTATTAAACTTTGCAATATGCCAGCTTATTCCATTTAGTGAATAATTACTTTAAAGGATTTTTTTTCCTGAGAATAATAAAAACAATATTAACACTATTAAGTACTATTTTTAAAATGTTATTTTAGAACAACTACTTCAAGGCCAATAAAAAAGGCAAGGGTTAAACTGGTTATGAATAGTAGAACAGCAATTCCTATTATGCAATTGTCTCCCACTCCTTCTAATTAAATTGCCAGGAAGATAAAAGAAAACGTAAAAGCAGATTTGTAGCATCCTTGGAAACTTAATTGACAACCACATAATTCTCAGAAAAAATTTCTTTAACTCCAATGTCATTGTACTTGGGTTAATATATATGTAATCTCCAAATATTATTATATAAAAATCAGATGTATATCTGGGTCCATTTTATTATAGTCATTGAGAAATAATAAAAAAAAAAATGGCCATGCCTGTAATCCTAGCACTTTGAGAGGCAGAGGTGGGTGGATCACCTGAGCTCAGGAGTTTGAGACCAGCCAGAGCAACATGGTGAAACCCTGTCTCTACAAATTATACAAAAATTAGCCAGGCATGGTGGTGCAGGCCTGTGGTTCCAGTCACTCTGGAAGCTCAGGTGGGAGGATTGCTTGAGCCTGAGAGGCACAGGTTGCAGTGAACAGAGAGCTTGTCACTGAACTCCAGCTTGGGCAACAGAGTGAGATCCTGTCTCAAGATAGAAAAAAAGAAAAGAAAAAAAGAAATAGTAAAATTTATATTATATGTAAGTGGAAATGTTACTTGGCCCATTTAATATGTTTTTGTGCGTTCACTTTTAAAATAGAGAAACATTCAATTATATGTAATTAATAAAACAGTACTATTCTTTTGCCTTTTAGTTTTCTTTTAGTGATAGGGTCTTGTTCTGTTGATCAGGTTGTCATGCAGTGGCATAATCATAGTTCACTGCAGCCTCCAACTCCTGGACTCAAGCAATTCCCTCACCTCAGCCTCCTGAGTGACCAGGACTATGTGTGCACATCACCACGCCCAGCATTTTTTTTTTTTTTTCATTTTTTAGTAGAAACAGGGTCTCATATGTTGCTGAGGCCTATCTTGAACTCCTGGCCTCAAGAGATCCTCCTGCCTCAGTCTCCTAAAGCACTGGGATTAAAGGTATGAGCCACTGGGCCCAGCCTATTTTTCTTCTAATATGATAAATTTGTGAATCATAAAAATATAATATCTCATATACAATCATATGAATTATATGTGTCTAAATACTTTATTTCAACTAAATATATGCTTATTATAAACTTAGTAGCGATAAGGCTGTTCTTTTGTTTTAATTCATTTTTTGTAATTCTTTGGTTATCATGCTTTTTGCTACAAGCGCATTTTGTAGTTTTAATCAAAAACAGTTGTTTTGCAATGCTCATTTATCTTATTGTTCTTTGTTTTTTAAATAGTGTCTTTGGCTGATTTCTTAATATTTAAGTAGCTAATTCACAGTCACCTTTCTTTTTCTTTTACTGATTTCATGGTGTTTCCGTGCTGTAATTGTAGAGGTGAATCAATTTTACTGAGATAGACAGTAGTTAAACAGAATAAGTGAAGCAATGAAAAAGGCCTCCAGGTCTTTCAAATAGTTTTTCCAACATGTGTTACAGTAATTTATAGAGCAATATTAGCAGGCTTTAAATGGCAAATACAGCATTTCATCAGCTTTCCATTTTAATATTTTTATGTGTGATGGAATTTGCTTTCATACTGTGTTCTTGTTATAGCCTTTATTTTCTGTTTTTCTCATTTCTTTAATGTGATTATGCAGATTTCAAAACTCACCAAAGGAAAATGCAGAAAAAGAGTGCTTAAGAATCGTGCAAACTATAGGCCAAGAAAGAGTATTTTCTAGCTTGATACTTCCTCTGTAAGGAAAATATCATTAAAATAACTTCGTTAATTTTGAAGATTTTGAAAGTTTAAATAATTTATTAAAGTATTATTAAACTTCAGATCTCTTATGAAATGGACTGTCTTCCCTATTTTCTTGTATCTCTCCATAAAATTTTTACTGACTAGTTACTGGAATACCTTTTTTTTTGTAAAATCAATTTTAAAAATCAATTTTTTGTAAAATCAATTTGAAAAAAGCATTTTTTTCAAAAATATAGTCTTGCTCTGTCACCCAAGCTAGAGTGTAGTGGTGCAAACATGGCTCCCCATATCCTCGACCTCCTGGGCTGAAGCAACCCTCCCACCTCAGCCTCCCGAATAGCTAGGACTACAGGTGCACACCACATGCCCAGATAATTTTTTTTGGATGGGTAGAGACAGGGTTTTACCATGTTGCCCAAGGTAAGACCATTCTTTATTAGATGAAATTTTACATTAAAAAAGTATTTTGTGTTTTTATCTTAATTCTAATTTAGAATCATGATTCTGCTATGGTTGAGGAGAGTTACTTAGAACAAATGAACTTATCTGAAGCAAGCTTAGTTTCTTTAGGTTCCAAATATAGATGATAAAATCAACTGCAATGGATGAGGCAAATTAAATGAGTTAGTGTATGTTAGGGCCCAGCATTATACTTTGAATGCTATAGTTCAAGAAAAATTACTTATTCATCTCTCTCCTCAATTTTTTTCTCCATGATTTTGCATGATATAAAAATCCAGGCTCATATTTTCAGTGAGAAAAAAAAAAAACTGGTCATTCTTTCTCCTCTTATGGTCCGTTTGATTCAGTCTATTCAAAAGTGTCCATTGCAATGCCTTTGTTGACCGTGCATGCTTTTCCTGGTATGTCCTTATCCTTCAACGAAATCCCGATCCCTTCCAAGTTCATGTTTCCTCCATGAATCATTTTTAGTACCTTGAAATACCTATCAGCAAATTTAGAGTTTATTGCAACATAGGTTTTTAACAGGTGAGTCATTTTACCTTATATCATAGTAGTTAAGTTTTAATATGCATATTTTATATTAAAGATAGTACATCAATAATACGTTTTGTTAAAAGAGCAGTTAAGTGACTGATTTATTTTAATACTTTAGTGTCTTGTAGGTCTATTCACTGCTAAGTGGATAAGGCCTTTATTTTCAGTACTTATTGCTCTGCACAAAACCATTTCTTTATCTTCTACATTATAGGATGCTTTCACTCCTTAAGAGCAACAGTTTGAATTATAGTATAGTTTAAGTCATCGGATGCAAAATAAATCTTAGTAACCACAAATTTTAGAAGGGACAATAGGGAATAGGCGGTCAATCTTCCCAATGTTCCAGAGTGGGACAATAATGATATGCCTTCCATTCTGCCCCAGGAAAACTACAAAACATGTTGGCTTACATTCCGGTACTTACCAAGAGGCAAGGCATGGCAACTGATGAATAATTGCAGCTTGTTTTCTGTACATGTACAGTAGTATGCAAGTGTATAGTCAAGTTATTTCATACTAACTTTAGAATTATATATGACTTTTTGATCAGGAGACATGAATTTAATTGTTCATTCATTCACTGTCTTCTGAAATTCTCTAACAATGTATTTATATTCATCTGGTTTTTGTTTTTTAATCTACCCCAATGCTACCTCAAATTCATCTTTTTCAGATCTGTGAAAAAGATAGAAGAAATCTAATTATCATCACTAATGGTTTTCATCATTCTTTTCTTTTCTATTACTTTTTTATCCTTTTCTAGACATTTCCTATTAAATCACTCTGCACACCCAGATCACCCAGATTTCCTATGTCTCTCTATAGGAAATCACTGTATTTCAGATTTGTTACTCAAAACTCTCTAATTTTTAAATAAATAATGTCTTAGTTTAGGCTACCCAGAAGCAGATCTTAGGTCGAATTTTATTAAACATGTTTTGTTTTTTCTTTTTTTGCAGGGTGCAGGGAAAGTGATTCAAGGAAAAATCAATGGGATAGTGGGGAAGAATGACAAGGAACAGAAAGAAGCCAGCTCAGGGATATTATTAGAGCTAATTCAGGGAGGAACTCTGGGAGAAATAAACTTACCTTGAAGTTAAGCCAATCAAGGTACCGGAAGTTGATTTATGTGTTCATTCACTCCCACCAGTCATTAGTTGAACATTACTTCTAAGGGCAATATCTGTTTAAAACTTTTGACTTGTTTTGATTAAAAATAAGAGACTGGGCATGGTGGCACTATAATCCTAGTGATTTGGGAGGCCAAGGAAGGAGAATCTCTTGAGGCCAGGAATTTGAGGCTGCAGTGAACTCTGGTTGCCACTGTACTCCAGCCTGTGTGACAGAGTAAGAACCTGTCTCTAAAAGAAAAAAAAATTAAAAAAAGAAAGTAAGAAAATAAGTGGGTTCCTGTGGCAAAAAAATTTTAAAGTTTTCTCAGACAGAGAATGTAAATGTTCTCTTAGCAACCTTCATTGTAAAAATATGAAGGCAGAGGGCGTATGGACAGGGCAACAGCATTTGTTATAATATCTGTTTGCTACTTACTGATCATGTGGCATATACAAAATCTTCAAACTTTTTAGATTATAAACAATAAACAAGACATGAATATTGAAGGGTTAATTGACAATACTGAATACTATAAAGATTTTCATAAAAAAGACATGCATCAGTATAAAATAAAATGTACAGATAAATTTTTTATGTTCAAAGATGAGACATTATAGGTGAAAAAAGTAGTAAAAGTAAGAAAATGTAAGATAACATTTGAATAAAGTGTTGAATTTAGGTAGATAAGTGTTTCTCAATCTCTACAATACTGACATATGGGCTGAATAACACTTTATAGTGAGGGATATCCAGTGCTTAGTAGAATAATTAGCAGCATCCTCAGCATTTACCCACAATTTACTGCCAACTGAGTTAGCAGAAAATATCCTGATTTTGGTCCTAGGCCGAAAGTATGTGAAAAATTAAGCAAAAATATAAAAATAAAGGAAATTTTTAAAACAATTTAAGGTGTCTTAAAAAAGTGAAACTGCAAACTTTATACTTTTGGACAAAAATGGACATGAACACGATTTGCTTTTGTGAGATCATTTTAGTTCAGAATGATTTACGCTGTAAATGTATTTTGAATCTGACTATTACACTGTCTTCTTTAAATAGGTTAAATTATTTGCCCTTTTTTTTCCATATTGGAAGGTGACACCATCACTTCTGTGTTTCATTGTGTTTCATTACATACTTATAGGTTTTTTGGTTGAAGGATTTAGTACTGAGCCAAATTTAGGTCACATATGAAAAATATTCCACAGGGAAGAAAACATCCTAAAATCCCGTTTGTAATAAAATTTACATTTTGAACATTTCATTTTTATTTGCTACCACGTAACTTGCTACAGATGTTTTTGTACCAGAAATTATAATATGAAGCATAATTTTATATTTCAGTATAATTCGCTTTTATAAATCTATTGGAAAGAAACTGTGCTAAAACTGAATACAACTCTAACAAACAAAACTGTATTTATGTGAATTTAAACATCAGTTTTTGAAATATGTCCAAAAATACAAAAGACATTATCATAATATGGTAGTCAACTATCAAAACTACTACATTCAAGAATAAATTGAGAAAAAAAAACTTAGAAAAATAGTTAATATTTAGGAGAATATGTGAGAGAAATACTTTTGTTCTAATAACATATGAAACTATTATATACAGGTGCTTCTCAACTTACAGTGGGTATCATCCCAATGATAGTTACAGATATCAAATGCCTAGGCAAATAAGGATAGGTACCTGGTGAAACCCCACCTCCAAGCCAAAGTCTAAAGATGGAAATCCAAGCTACAAGTTAAATCCTCAGACTGGATTGAGAACTTGTCTTCCTGTTTGGCACACTTTCTTCTAATTGATCCCAACCCTTCACCTATTTTACATGTACCTACCCTTTCCTAATCTTTTTTCTACACTGTTGTGCTCACCGTTGAGTGATGCCTTCACTTTAATCTTTTTTTCATTCTCACAAACCAATCAACACACATTCCCCATCCTATGCCTATAAAGACCCCAGATTCAGTTGGTAGAGGAGAGAGATGGCCTGATTTAGAGGAAGAGACAACCTGAATTTGAGGAAGATAACCTGCCTTTCCCATTGCCTCTCCAGCTTCCCTCTCTGCTGAGAACTGTTTTCATCATTCCATAAAATTCCCCACCTTCACCATCCTTATATCATTCATGTGACCTCACTATTCTTGAATGCTGGACAAGAGCTCAGGACCATTGAGCACAGGTTCCCAGAAAGGCTGTCATACCCGCCCTTTGTCCTTGCCATCAGAGGGCAGCTGCCCCACTTGATGAGGCAAGGGGCCAACTGAGCTGCTAACAGGCTGCCATATGCAGATGGTGGAACTAAAGGAGGACTGTAACACCCCTTCTGGGGCTTCGGTGTGGCGGCACCCTCACCTAGGCACTGCCACATTCCCCTTGGGGCAACATGCCTGGTCTGGCCACAGGTCCCACACGGAGCTTCCTCCTATGTTGGCGCCTGGAGTGGGTGGCCAGATCTCACACTCGCTCATTCATGTGTTCCCTCCTGCAAGGGGTTGAGTACAGCAGGCCAAGTAGATGGGGTGCCCCTTCCACGGGTTCAGCGAAGGGGCTGAGAAAAATCCTGCATCACCAATAAACCCATTCTAAGTTGAAAATCTCATAAGTTGCAAATGTACTGAATACACTTATCCTGTGAAAAATCATTGCTTAGCTTAACTTACCATAAATGTGCTCAGAACACTTACATTAACAAAGAGTTGGGCAACATAATATGAGAAACCCTATTTTATAACAAATTGTTGAATAATTCATATAATTTATGAATATGGTACTGAAAGTGAAAAACAGAACAATTATATGGATATTCAAAGAATGGTTTTTAATAAATATGTGTCACTTTGGCACTATCATACAGTTGAAAAATTTTAAGTAAAAGCATCATAAGCCTGGGACTTGCTCATTTCATTTTAATATTTGTATATTCCAGCCCCTAATGTTCTTTCTTCAAAAGAAGCTAAAAAGTAATATAGAAATAATGTTGTGTTTATTCAGAGAAAATTGCTAAATCCATGAAACTGAAAACTTCAACTCTTATAAAAAGAAATTTTACATGGAAATCTTTTACAATTTGAAATATAATTTAACATTTAGTTTATTTTATAATGACAAGAAATCATGATAGACTCCTTGAATTTCTATTTACTTTTATTTGCTTTAAAGAAAAGGTTTTTGGAGACAGAGTCTTATTCTGTCGCCCAGTGTATTAGTCTGTTTTCATGCTGCTGATAAGACATACCTGAGATTGAGCAATTCACAAAAGAAAGAGGTTTAATGGACTTACAGTTCTGCATGGCTGGGGAAGCCTCACAATCATGATAGAAGGCAAGGAGGAGCAAGTCATGACTTACATGGATGGCCACAGGCAAAAAGAGCCAAGAGAAAGGGGTTTCTCCTTATAAAACCATCATATCTTGTGAGACTTATTCACTACCACCATGAGAACAGTATGAAAGAAACTGGCCTCATGATTTGATATTCTCCCATTGAGTCCCTCCCACAACACTTGGGAATCATGGGAGTATGATTAAAAATGAGATTTGGGTGGGAACACAGAGCCAAAACATATCATTCCACCCCTGGTCCCTCCCAAATCTCATGGTCCTCATATTTCAAAACTAATTATGCCTCACCAACAGTTCCCCAAAGTCTTAACTTATTTCAGCGTTAACTCAAAAGTCCACAATCCAAAGTCTCATCTGAGACAAGGCAAGTCCCTTCCACTCATGAGCCTGTAAAATCCAAGCAAGTTAGTTATTTCCTAGATACGGGGGTGGGGGAGTGGGGAGAGGGTGCAGGCATTGGGTAAATACAGCTATTCCAAATGGGAGGAATTGGCCAAAACAAAGAGGGTACAGGCCCCATGCAAGTCCAAAATCCAGTGAGGCAGTCAAATCTTAAAACTCCAAAGTGATCTCCTTTGACTCCATGTCCCACATCCAAGTCATGCTGATGCAAGAGGGGGGTTCCCATGGTCTTGGGCAGCTCCACCACTGTGGCTTTGCAGGGCATAGCCTCTCTCCTGGCTGCTTTCACAGGATGGTATGGAGTGTCTGTGGTTATTCCAGGTACATGATGCAAGCTGTCAGTGGATCTATCATTCAGGGGTCTGGAGGACAGCGGCTGGTCCTCTTCTCACAGTTCTACTAGGTACAGCCCCAGTAGGGACTCTGTATGGGGGCTCTTGATGCCACATTTCCCTTCTGCACTGTCCTAGCCAAGGTTCTCCATGAGGGCCCTGCCCCTGCAGCAAACTTCTGCCTGGCCATCCAGGCATTATCATATATTCTCTGAAATCAGGGTGGAGGTTACCAAACCTCACTTCCTGACTTCCTTTTTAATTTTTTTTTTTGGTTTCTACAAAATGTTATTTATTTATTTATTTATTTATTTATTTATTTTATTTTTTATTTTATTATTATTACACTTTAAGTTTTAGGGTACATGTGCACAATGTGCAGGTTAGTTACATATGCATACATGTGCCATGCTGGTGTGCTGCACCCATTAACTCGTCATTTAGCATTAGGTATAACTCCTAATGCTATCCCTCCCCCCTCCCCCAACCCCACAACAGTCCGCAGAGTGTGATGTTCCCCTTCCTGTGTCCATGTGTTCTCATTGTTCAATTCCCACCTATGAGTGAGAACATGTGGTGTTTGGTTTTTTGTCCTTGCAATAGTTTACTGAGAATGATGATTTCCAATTTCATCCATGTCCCTACAAAGGACATGAACTCATCATTTTTTATGGCTGCATAGTATTCCATGGTGTATATGTGCCACATTTTCTTAATCCAGTCTATCATTGTTGGACATTTGGGTTGGTTCCAAGTCTTTGCTCTTGTGAATAGTGCTGCAATAAACATACGTGTGCATGTGTCATTATAGCAGCATGATTTATAATCCTTTGGGTATATACCCAGTAACGGGATGGCTGGGTCAAATGGTATTTGTAGTTCTAGATCCCTGAGGAATCGCCACACTGACTTCCACAATGGTTGAACTAGTTTACAGTCCCACCAACAGTGTAAAAGTGTTCCTATTTCTCCACATCCTCTCCAGCACTTGTTGTTTCCTGACTTTTTAATGAATGCCATTCTAACTGGTGTGAGATGGTATCTCATTGTGGTTTTGATTTGCATTTCTCTGATGGCCAGTGATGGTGAGCATTTTTTCATGTGTTTTTTGGCTGCATAAATGTCTTCTTTTGAGAAGTGTCTGTTCATGTCCTTCACTCACTTTTGGATGGCGTTGTTTGTTTTTTTCTTGTAAATTTGTTTGAGTTCATTGTAGATTCTGGATATTAGCCCTTTGTCAGATGAGTAGGTTGCGAAAATTTTCTCCCATGTTGTAGGTTGCCTGTTCACTCTGACGGTAGTTTCTTTTGGTGTGCACAAGCTCTTTAGTTTAACTAGATCCCATTTGTCAATTTTGGCTTTTGTTGCCATTGCTTTCGGTGTTTTAGACATGAAGTTCTTGCCCATGCCTATGTCCTGAATGGTAATGCCTAGGTTTTCTTCTAGGGTTTTTATGGTTTTAGGTCTAAAGTTTAAGTCTTTAATCCATCTTGAATTAATCTTTGTATGAGGTGTAAGGAAGGGATCCAGTTTCAGCTTTCTACATATGGCTAGCCAGTTTTCCCAGCACCATTTATTAAATAGGGAATCCTTTCCCCATTGCTTGTTTTTCTCAGGTTTGTCAAAGATCAGATAGTTGTAGCTATGCGGCATTATTTCTGAGGGCTCTGTTCTGTTCCATTGATCTATATCTCTGTTTTGGTACCAGTACCATGCTGTTTTGGTTACTGTAGCCTTGTAGTATAGTTTGAAGTCAGGTAGCATGATGCCTCCGGCTTTGTTCTTTTGGCTTAGGATTGACTTGGCAATGCGGGCTCTTTTTTGGTTCCATATGAACTTTAAAGTAGTTTTTTCCAATTCTGTGAAGAAAGTCATTGGTAGCTTGATGGGGATGACATTGAATCTATAAATTACCTTGGGCAGTATGGCCATTTTCATGATATTGATTCTTCCTACCCATGAGCATGGAATGTTCTTCCATTTCTTTGTATCCTCTTTTATTTCATTGAGCAGTGGTTTGTAGTTCTCCTTGAAGAGGTCCTTCACATCCCTTGTAAGTTGGATTCCTAGGTATTTTATTCTCTTTGAAGCAATTGTGAATGGGAGTTCACTCATGATTTGGCTCTCCGTTTGTCTGTTATTGGTGTATAAGAATGCTTGTGATTTTTGCACATTGATTTTGTATCCTGAGACTTTGCTGAAGTTGCTTATCAGCTTGAGGAGATTTTGGGCTGAGATGATGGGGTTTTCTAGATATACAATCATGTCATCTGCAAACAGGGACAATTTGACTTCCTCTTTTCCGAATTGAATACCCTTTATTTCCTTCTCCTGCCTAATTGCCCTGGCCAGAACTACCAACACTATGTTGAATAGGAGTGGTGAGAGAGGGCATCCCTGTCTTGTGCCAGTTTTCAAAGGGAATGCTTCCAGTTTTTGCCCATTCAGTATGGTATTGGCTGTGGGTTTGTCATAGATAACACTTATTATTTTGAGATATGTCCCATCAATACCTAATGTATTGAGAGTTTTTAGCATGAAGAGTTGTTGAATTTTGTCAAAGGCCTTTTCTGCATCTATTGAGATAATCATGTGGTTTTTGTCTTTGGTTTTGTTTATATGCTGGATTACATTTACTGATTTGCATATATTGAACCAGCCTTGCATCCCAGGGATGAAGCCCACTTGATCATGATGGATAAGCTTTTTGATGTGCTGCTGGATTCGGTTTGCCAGTATTTTATTGAGGATTTTTGCATCAATGTTCATCAAGGATATTGGTCTAAAATTCTCTTTTTTGGTTGTGTCTCTGCCCGGCTTTGGTATCAGGATGATGCTGGCCTCATAAAATGAGTTAGGGAGGATTCCTTCTTTTCCTATTGATTGGAATAGTTTCAGAAGGAATGGTACCAGTTCCTCCTTGTACCTCTGGTAGAATTCGGCTGTGAATCCATCTGGTCCTGGACTCTTCTTGGTTGGTAAGGTATTGATTATTGCCACAATTTCAGAGCCTGTTATTGGACTATTCAGAGATTCAACTTCTTCCTGGTTTAGTCTTGGGAGGGCATATGTGTCCAGGAATTTATCCATTTCTTCTAGATTTTCTAGTTTATTTGCGTAGAGGGGTTTGTAGTATTCTCTGATGGTAGTTTGTATTTCTGTGGGATTGGTGGTGATATCCCCTTTATCATTTTTTATTGCGTCTATTTGATTCTTCTCTCTTTTCTTCTTTATTAGTCTTGCTAGCGGTCTATCAGTTTTGTTGATCCTTTCAAAAAACCAGCTCCTGGATTCATTAATTTTTTGAAGGGTTTTTCTTGACTTCTGTGCACCTGCAGCCTCAACACCATGTGGATGATGCCAAGGCTTGGGGCTTGCACGTTCTATAGCCACAACTATACCTTGAGCTATACCTGAGCTATACCTTGGCCCCATTTAGTCATGGCTGGAGTGGTTGGGACAGGCCATCAAGTGTCTGGACTGCATACAGCATGGGGACCCTAGGCCCAGCCCATGAAATTTTGTTTCCTCCTTGGCCTCCAGACCTGCAATTGGCAGGGCTGCTGTTAAAGCCTCTGACATGCCCAGGAGACATTTTCACCATTGTCTTGGAGATTAACATTTGCCTCCTCTTCACTTATGGAAATTTCTGCAGCTGGCTTGAATTTCTCCTCAGAAAATGGGATTTTCTTTTCTATCACATTGTCAGCCTGCAAATTTCCAAACTTTTATGCCCTGCTTCCATTATAAAACTGAATGCCTTTAGCAGCACCCAAGTTACCTCTCAGATGCTTTGCTGCTTATAAATTTCTTCTTCTAGGTACCCTAAATTATCTCTCTCAAGTTCAAAGTTCCACAAATCTCTAGAGCAGGGGCAAAATGCCACCAGTCTCTTTGCTAAAACATAACAGGAGTCACCTTTGCTCCAGTTCCCAGCAAGTTCCTCATCTCCATCTGAGATCACCTCAGCCTGGATTTCCTTGTCCATATCATTATCAGCATTTTGGTAAAAGCCATTCAACAAGTCTCTAGGGACTTCCAAACTTTCCCAAATTTTTCTCTCCTCTTCTGAGCCCTCCAAACTGTTCCAATTTCTGCCTGTTACCCATTGTCAAATTTGCTTCCACTTTTTTGGGTATCTTTTCAGCAGCACCCCACTCCACCAGTACCAATTAACTGTATTAGTCTGTTTTCAGGATGCTGATAAGACATACCTGAGACTGGGCAATTCAGAAAAGGAAGAGGCTTAGTGGACTTACACTTCCACATGGCTGGGGAGGCCTCACAATCACCATACAAGGCGAGGAGGAGCAAGTCACATCTTACTTGGATGGCAGCAGGCAAAAAGAGCCAAGTGAAAAAACCATCCGATCTTGTGAGACTTATTCACCACCGTGAGAACAGTTATGGGAGAAACTGCCCTTGTGATTCAATTTAATATCTCACCAGACAATCACAATTATCTTTCACCAGATAATTGTGGGGATTATGGGAGTACAATTAAAGATGGATTTTGGGTGGAGACACAGAGTCAAACCATATCACTCCAGCTGGAGTACAGTGGAACATTCATAGCTCACTGAAGCCTCAAACTCTTGGGCTCAAGCAATCCTCTTGCTTCAGCCTCTTGAGTAGCTGGGACTACAAGTGCACAAGCACACCCAGCTTACTATCTGAAATGTAATTTAGTATTTTCCTTATTTCACAACACAAGAAATCATTATAGACACTTTGAATTTCTGAAATGAAAACACTCATTAGAGGATTCACATCAATTTGTTTATGTTTGAAATAAGGCGAATGAAGTCTCAAACAATTGTTCCCAAAGTCAGAAGAATAATTAATAGCACATCTGCACTGGAAATCTGGCTTCTGATTGAACATTTAATATTCCTCTCTTTTGTTATTTTTCTTCCCCAATAATTCATCTTGGTTTTCTAAAAGCTATCAATGTATTTAAAAATTATTATATGTTTAAAAAAACATACAAAGAAAAATTTCAATCCCTAAAAATTCAAATAAGGGAGGTAGAGAAATTTACTAGAGACTTTCTGTGAATTCAGTACCCCAGACATGAAGTTTTAAATGATTTACATCTCTCTTTTGTTTCTTCCAATTGACAAGCAAATTGAGACTTATATTATCTGGAGTCAAATATTCATTTTAGGATAGATATCAAAGTTGTTTATTATATTGTGTCTTTGGGGAAAACAACAGAAAAACAGAAAGGATACATGATAACTTAGAACTTTTATAGACTACCTGTTGAAGAGATCAATCAAATAGCCCTTTCAACTAAGTCCGTTATTGCATCAATAATTACTATTATGATAAGAAACTTACCGTAGGCCTTCATTTTTGCTTGTTACTTTTACCTATTAGTATCATTAACTTTGTGTGATAAATCTTTTCTGTTTTATTTACTTCTTTCTTCCACTTTTTTCTTTAAAATTTGATATCTCAATATAAGAAGAAATAAGAGCAGGCCAGGTAGAAAGTAGCATGTAAAATGTATAAAATATGACATTTGCTAATATAAAATATTTAGTCATTCATGAGTTAATCTATAGTGTTCTGGTCTTCTAAATGTTACTAATCTTCTCAATAATTCAATTATCTGATAATAATATAGCAATATATGCATCGCCAAATGTCATAACAGATTTATTTCTCTAGGAAGGGAAGAATGTAAGGGTATTGTTTCAGATAAAATATGTGCTGTTATTAGGTTACATTAATATTTGAAAGAACATTGCCGTATAAATACTGTGTGGAATGTGCCTTTATCATCCAGAGATCTAAGTTTCCATTGAAATATTACCATTTTCATCTACTTTTTAAATTTTATTTTTAAATATACATACAGCAAATTTACTCTTTTCCATGTGCAGTTTTTGAGTTTTGACAAATACACTATCATTAAGGTATAGAATGGTTTTGTTACTCCAAAAAAAAGTTATCTGCTGTATAGTAAAACATGTTCTCCAAGCCTTTTAATCCCTGGCAATCACAGTTCTGTTAAAAATAGATAAAGCATTTGAAAAACAAATTTATGTGCTTGATACTAAGAGACTCCTGAAAGTAAGCATGTAATCGCAATTCTTACATGTTACTACAAACGTGATAAAACGTACGAGTGAGCATTTTATTATACAACCCTGACATATTTGACTGCGATTTGCAAAGGTAGTCAATTGTAATACTATCTAAGATTTACAAATGCTATTGCTTTGAAGAAAAATATTTGATTCTGGAAGTGTACTTTAGCAATTACATTACTAGTTTTGTCTTCTAATTTGTGAAAAAGTTCACAAATTAAGGAAAAAATAAACAAAATAGGAAAATACAGGGTAATACTTCAGTGAAAGGAAGTAGGCCCTAAATATACTTTCATAAAAAAATCTCACTGTGTTTTTGAGAAAGATTTGTTTGCTGATATTTTCTGATTTTACCAGGAAATCTACAGAATAGATAGTTATCTGTGAAAGCTTACAAAGTGCTTGCATAAGCCAGTGGGATAAAACACACAAATGAAGAGAAGATTTGACAGAAGAAAGCATACACACATGCACGCACATGCACACACAAACACACACACACACACTGACATATATATTTCATATATGTGTGTGTATATATATGTGTGTTTCATGTAGCTATACTATATTTTTGACCAACTAATGCGGTGTAGAACACATGGAAATTAAATCTTCACCACAGTGCATATCACCTGAGGTCAAATATATCAACAATCTGTTTCTAATCGAGAATTAAAAAAAAAGTAGCTTCTTAGTTCAAGTCTTTAATAATAAATAGATTTTCAGTTTCACTAAAATGTGCAGCTTAATATTTTTGGAAAACAAGTTAATTGACTTTTTCACTCATACATAGTAGTTTTCATGACCAAAATCATTTAAAGTATTTAATAGTAATATACATTATATTAGAATATACATGGATATACTATACTTGTATACTATAATGTATATTGTATGTACTATATGATATGTGATTTATGTTAACTCATACAAATCAATTTATCTTGACAGTATGTTATTAAGTAAATATATCTTGAATTGTGTGCTGTGTTGGGTTTATCTACTTTTATTTTTGGAGGCAGTGGCTCCCAGATACTGTGTGCCATATCCTGATGTCTGAACAGCTGGCAGAAAAACTGCCAATTTTATCTACTTAAAAAAGTTAAAGTTGTATAAAAGAAATAGCCAGAATTATGCTAAAAATACTTGAAACATTATTCCCTACTGCAGTTTTCCTCCCATGTGTATGGTTTAGAAGTCTTTATCATTAAAAGAATCCCTCTTTGAAAATTTTGAAAAATGCAAAAGCCACATGACCATGTACCTTTAAAAATATTTAGAAATTTCCTTTTTTCATTGCATAGGTATGCTAATTAAAACAGCACTGTAGAAATATTATAACTCTGTTATTCTAAAGGCCTGGTGACTTTGTATGAGTCAAGATTGTTTAAAATGACCTAAATTATTGACTGAACACAAATACATCAAAGACATTAAAATTTAGCTCTGTGCTTCCAGACATACATTTCAGAATCTGTGACTCTTTGAAATCATGGCAATAACTTGAAAGAAATCAGAAACCAGTCTAGCTGGGAGGATTTTAGAAGCTTCTCTTGGCACTTAGAGAATTTAGAAGATTCACCAGGCATTTATAAAATTCCTTTGATATCATGATGTCTAATGAGACATTATGGGATTTAAGGCTATGGATCCCCAATCTTAGCTCCCTAGTGACCATAATGAACCACGCTTTCATGAGTAAAAGGCAATAATTCACTCCTACTACAATTTTATTTTAAGTACTTAAAATAATGTAGGGTAAACATTTTTGGGGAAAAGCAGCCTATCTCTGTATCATATATCTCACCTTGGAGATATTTGTTATTCTGCATTTTTGGCCAAGACTACTTCCCTATGCCAAGTCATACAGTTGCCCAGAATTACAATCTAGTTTACATTAAAAGTGAAGTTCAAATTAAACACAAAAACATAAAATGGCAACAGATGCACAAGTAACTACCAGTGGGGGGCGTCTATTTAGAGGCTAAAAAAATGAGATTTTATCCGTAATTAAACCTGTAGAAATTGCTGATTTCAACCATTTGGGGCCGATAAAACAGTAATTTTGCATATGTTTTATTTTTCTAGTGTTGTAATGAATTATCACAAATTTAGTAGCATACAATAACACAAATTTATTATCTTATAGGTTTTGAGTCCAGAAATCTGAAATGAATCTCACTGGGTAAAAGCAAGGTGTCTGCAGGGCTGCATTCTTCTAGGGGCTCTAATAATCTATTTTCTTGCCCTTTTCAGCTTTTAGAGACTCTCTACCTTCCTTGCCTCGTAGCCCCTTCTTCCATTTTCAAAGCTAACAGCACAGCATCTTCAAATTTCTCTTTGATTGACTCTTCAACCTCATTCTTCCACTTTTATAAGAACACTGGTGACTACAATGAGCCAGCCTGGATAATCTAGGAAATCTTTCCATCTTGGAGTCATCTGATTAGCAATCTTAATCCATCTGCATCCTTAATCAGTGAAACAATTTTTTGGGGGTATCAGTTCTTGGAATTTTGCCTCTAATACATATCTATAAATGTCTATCACCTTTTACCACTAGGGATAGCAAGGTGGTAGTGTTGATTTGCACTTCAGTGGAACATTTTTTATGTTACCTGGAGGAAGCACTCCTCTGAATCGGCAGAATTCTAAGTAAAGAAATAAGAAGGCAAAGTATTATACATGCATCATTAGATTTAATAATGAGATATTTAATTTTTCTTTCTACCCTCATGTGTGTCATCTGAACCTATATTCTAGCTGTTGGAGAAAACTCACTACATATTGGTCACTGATTTAAAGCATATAAAGCACCATGCAAGAGAGCACCCAAATTTGTAAAGTGTCTCCTAGCTGGTACAGTATTGAAACTTCAATATGTCAGTCTATCAGGCCAGCTGCTTTGAGTTATGCTAATACCAATGAATCCAGTATGAGTGGGTCCTTTAACTTACTTAATTTGCTATAAAAGTTTTGCTATAAAAGAAATTCTTTAATATGAAGTTCATATTACTGAGGCCCAATGATTGCTTGAATATATATATGTATATGAATATATTTATTAATCAATTTGTTTTTTCTCTCCTTTTTACTATTTTATGATTTACAGGTAATGATTAATTTTATAATATCACTATAATTCCTTTTTCAGATATCAGAAATCTCAGGCTCAGAAATGTTGAATCACCTGTTATATCTCAAGTCAAAGAAATAGTAAATGAAAGAATATGTTTTAATTCTTGTTTTTTTAGCCCCAAGTTCAGCCCTTTTTGTGTAATAATAAGTTGTTATCATTAAAATTGGCTAAATGATCATATTAAGAGTAAAATTTATTAACACATTATTGGCCAATATAATAAAACTTTCTCTTTATGGGTATAGTTACTTGCAGCATCAATATTTCTTATCTGTCAAATGAACTTCTAGGAGGTAATATCATAGAAAATATTTTATTATTCCACAAGATAAAAGTGTTTTAAATTTCCTATTAATTTCAGGAGCATACATTCACACACACACACACACACACACACACACACACACCCCTACACATGCATACAATCGTGTGTGTATACATGCAGATACATACATATATCATTTTGGTTTTTGGTAAATTATGCTGGGATAATTTACCCTTATCAGTTAACCTACTTGAGCAAAAAGTGAGATTGGTCAAAAAAATAAGAGTTTATAATAATAAATAATAATATCTGTGTACATAAATCTTCAATATTGCATTATTTTTACTGTAATGGGATTTAAAATTAATGGATCAAAACCACATAGAGACACAATGCACAAATAATTTATCTTGCATCTTTCATATAGAAAAATCAGTGTATGAAAGTAAAAACATTAAAAACTAAAAAAAACCTCAGGCATTCATATGAATCAATTGCAACAGGGAATTAAATCATTTCTTTTTAAAAATAAGGACAAATGTAAACTGCGGTTGAATGCAATGTGGTATTCTTTAATGGATCCTGGAACAGTAAAAAGGAAAAGTGATGGATAAATTGAGGAAATCTGAATAAACTCTGTAGTTTAAAGTATTATATCAATGTTAATATCTTACTTTTGATTAATGTGTCATGCTTACATAAAATATTCACATTAAAGAAACCTATGTTTACAACTCTTATGAGTAGAAAATTATTTCAAATAAGAAATAATCCTCAATTTATATATACTCAATATAAAAAGGCTGAATTATTTTTCTCATTAATTTCTTTACCAAAGATGAAGATAACCATAATTTTCCACTTTGCTTTTAGGCAGAAATACAGAGTTGGATACTGTATAAATATATATATTTATAAAAGAGAACAAGAAAACTAAATCTTTTAAAATGGGAAGTCTATCAGAGAGTAATTAGGATGAGACAAATACATTTGGATAAATTGCAGAAAAACCAGCTGTTTGTGATTTACTGTGTATGTATATTATTCTAATTGGTGGTGTTATTTGTAAAGTTATTAGCTTCTTCTGGGAAAGTCATCCAAGCACAGACATTATAGAAAATGTCTACTATATGCAGATATCCAAGATATTTCTTAGAGGTGCAATTTTGAAATATTCCACATTAAAGTATAAACGTAATCTTTACTTTACATGAATGTTCCAATAATTAATATGTTTGATCTGTCAATATGAGTGACACAAATTTAAGAAGAAAGGAAATCATTTGGATGTATTCAGTTTACACTAGGAACATGGCCCACAATGCAGATGTCACTTATGGATACAAACAAGTTTCAAGTAGAAAGGAAATGAAACCATTTATATGAACACAATTTTAAAACTATAGTAAGAGTATACAAATATATTTATGTTAAGAGATTAAAACTATGTCAGAAATATAGACTAACTTCATAGGAAAACAAATAATATTTTATTTTTTAATTTATAGGTAAACAATGCTGATAGCTCATTACACAAAAGGTAAAAATTCTTAAAGATACAAGGCAAAATTTATGCTTTCATAGGGTCAAATACTAATACTCAGGATTGTAAACTTTGATTGCTTTATTAGAATCGCTTAGAGTGAGAATGCATTATAAGTGAAAACCATCGAAATAAATATTTTTCCATGCCCAGAACAAGGCAATATAGGAGGTATGTAAGCAAATGGAGATCGATGAAGAGGTAATTGGTGAAGAAATACAAATCCCTTATTTAAGATCTCACACACACACAGACACACACACACACACACACACACACACACACACAAAATGCTTCAAAGCTTAGGCAGTTGTTGAAAGCTTTGAAAAAAGCAAAAGCGAAAACATAAAACTCTTACAAAATGACAACTTAAATATAGGGATCTTCTGTAAAATGATTAGATAAGCACACTGTGTGTGTGTGTGTGTGTGTGTGTGTTTATGAATGCATTGAAACAAACAGATACTGTATGTGAACCATTTTGTATGTAAAACATATGCAGTAATAAAGCACTTCATGAGAGTTCTTCACACAGAGATCTCACTGAGAAGAGCAGCACTGATTTAATTGGGACTGGCTCTTAAAATGGTTTTTATGTCAAAATTTTACATGCAAGTTAGTACTTCTGGTTTATCAGAAAGACTTGAGGCATTGAAAATTTGCTATTCTTATTTATTTGTAGATCCACATTTTGCTATTCAGCTCCAAAAAAAAAAAAAAATTCCAAACAAATGCCACAGGTCTTCCTCCTCACCTGAAAAACATCAATTTAATTTAATTTTCCTGAAAATTACTAGTATTTTGTTGTTCTCCACTTATTGTTTTGCTATCCCTTTCCTTAATAAAGATACCTTACATCTTCAGCAAAACTACTTTCAAACAACTTTCAAATACATTTCCTCATTTAATTTTCGCAGCAATTTATGGAAGTAGAAAGGTCTTGTTATCACCATATTAAATGAGTAAAAAGAAACTTTAGAACATTTAAGTAGGAAGCTGAAGATCTTAAAATTAGTAAGGAGCTGAACCAGATAAGTAGCTTAGAACTTTCCGTGACTACAGCAATGTTCCTTGCATTTCAGCATCCTGCTGTTAGCTTTTTGTTAGTGATGAGCTGGTACTTCACAGGAACTTTTTGTGTAACTTTGTTTTGACACACTGTGTATCACTCAACATAACAAACCAAAAGCAGATTCTATCACAAACTCTGTTTTAATTTATAAGAGAAGGCAGCAAGTCATAATAGTATGATTACTCAAAACAGTTTATGTTGTTCCTCTCCCCATTATTTTTGTTGCCTTTTTTTGTTGTTGTATCTCGAGTGTATATACATGTGAATGTAAACTAGTAGCCACAGAATTTTATTAACTTTCATTCTCCAGGAACAGAAAACCAAACACCGCATATTCTCACCTAAAAGTGGGAGCTAAATGATAAGAGCTTATGAACCCAAAGAGGGAAATGACAGACACTGGGACCTACTTGAGGCAGAAGAGTGGGAGGAAGGAGAGGAGCAGAAAAGATAGCTATTGGGTACTGGGCTTAACACCTGGGTGATGACATAATATGTACAACAAACCTTCATGACACGTGTTTACCTGTGTAACAAACCTTCACATGTACCCCCAAACCTAAAATAAAAGTTAAAAAAAACCCTTTTTTGTTCTCATATTGTGCATTAGATCTCTAGAGTTGTTTATCCTGTATTTCCACTATTTGATATCCTCTGACCTATATCTCCCCATTTCTTCTCCCCCTCCCACTGATGGTAACCACTGTTTTATTCTCTATCTCTGTGTATTTCAGCTCTTTTTTGTAATTCCACATGTCAGTGATATCAAGCAATAGTTTTCTTTCTGTGTCTGCCTTATTTAACTTAATATAATGTCCTCTAGATCCATTCATGTTCTAGCAAATGGGTCTCCATATTTTTAAAGACTGATTAACTTTCCATTGTGTGTGTGTTTGTGTTTATACCACATTTTCTTTATCCATTCATTCATAGATGAGCATTAGGTTGTTTCCATACCTTGGTTATTTTAGATAATCCTGAGTTTTTTGTAAGATTGTAGCATTTATTAAAGTGAAGAAATTTTAAATTTTAAAACCATACTAAGCCACGTAGAAAAATTTGTATTAAAAACAAAATCAAATAAACAAAAAGTGGACAGATATATACTAGAACCAATAATTAATAGGCTAAACATGCTATCTTAAATATGAGGCTTCTTTCATTTTGGTTATAATTTATTAATTAATATGGGAAACCTAGTTATTCGGTGCTCTCTTTTTATTAAAGACATTTAGAAAACATTGTTTAGTTAGTATTATAGTTTAATTTTCTTTTCTAAAACTGAGATTCATGGGATGTTAATGCAAGGTGCCCTTGATAGTATAAATGTAGAAATCACTACAATAGGCAGTAAAAATATCTGTATTCTGATGGGGCATAGATTTCCTGTAAGCCTACCTAAAATTGCCTGTTTTTTTTTTTCAGCTCACTTTTCCCTTGACTTCTAAAGCACATATTTACCTTGTTAAGAACTTTGTCAGCAAATGGATTTACTGATATGAGTCACCCTATGGACCTAGAGGCTGAATCTGATCAATGCTTCACTCTGTAAACAAGACAAGGCTATCAGTAATCTTACAATATGGACATCTATATTGGCTTCTTGTATTACAGCCAGACATATAACCAACTAATGGGAGAGAGAAGACATAAATATGGGAGAGAGAAGACATAAATTACTGGATAACATTAGTGTTTGTGAACTACCCAATTTAGAACTGCATGTTGAAATCATAAGGCACTGAGATTACATGCTGCCTCTGCGAGTTTTGATTAGTGGAAACATCACAACATTTTATCATTTATTTGCCTTTTGCAGTTAAAAACAAACTGCGCTTTTGTTTGTTGTGCAGTTTGTATTGTAATCCACTTTAAAAAATCTACCTACATTTTGAACACTGTTCAAGCGAAGGTGCTCTATAAGCATGATTTTTTTTTAAATCTATGGCCCCATATAATAGGAACATTTGTTTACATGTCAAACAAGCTTCTTTAATATATTAACAATGAAAATATCTAGCCTAGCTGTCAAAATAAAAAGGTGGGGTATGGGAAATTGTTGAGAACATAGTCTGGAATAAAAATAATATAAATAAATTAATACATCTTTACCTTTTTCTTCCTTGACTACATGTGCCATTATCCACAAAAGCTAATACATATCCTTACCCTTATTCTCAATTATTTAGTTTACTCTCCTCAACCCTTCCTCTTATAAAATGTTTCACCTTAAGTGTAGATTAAACATCTCTCTTCTGCAATTCAAAATAATACGTTTAATATATAGCTTCACTCATACTTACTTTATCTTACCTAGAGAAAGAAATATTTCTGTCCTAGTTCGGACATAAAGGCCTAGGAATTTATACTGTTAGATCACCAGGAGCCCAAAATTATCTGTTTTCAAAATTTTAACCAAATACCAATATTCTAATAAATAAGCTGTTGCTCTAGACAAATAACATGAAGTAAAATATACAATGAATTATTGATTTTTGTTTCATTTCTTTTGGTCAAACTAGATAAACAACAAGGTATTCTATGTAAAGAATAACCATTTTTCAAAGAATACCAATATTTTCCCTTGAGATGACATTTCACAAAAAGGATTATTTCTTTCATATCTCATAGTACAAACTTAGAAAATGTTTTATTTTTGTGTTTGTTGTTCTCTTCTGAACTACCTCCTTAATGAGTTTGGCATTCTGCTATGTATTGGTCTATCTGCTATGAATGCCAGTATCTTAATACATACTTAAATTTAAACATTCTAATTTATCCTACCATTTCACACACACAACAGTTTGTGGAAAATGTATATTAGTAAAAAATTGTGCATGGATTTCAAAAAGGTTTGTACCAAAATAAATTCTAACTTTTATGAATAAATTTTTAAATAATTGTTAAAATATATAAATAAATATTAACTTGTTATAATACATGTCAGTAGAATCTAGTTTGAGGGATTAAAAAGGATAAGAAATCAGTTTGAAAAGAGTCCTATCAGAACAATATGAATTGTGCTAAAATTGAAGCAACAACAAACATTAAACTTACGGCAAAGCTTGGGTTGAATGATGGTGAAATCTTTGATGGTTTATGAAAAGTTTATGAAGACAATGCCCCAAAGAACTCAGCAGTTCACAAATGGATAACTCATTCTGAAAAGGAATGAGATGATGTTGAAGATGAATGCTGCAGCAGCCTTCACATCAATCTGCAAAGAAAAAATTAGTCTTGTTAAGGTTAATGCCCTAATGAAGAATACCAATGATTAAAAGTACACACAATGGCCAACACCATAGAAATCTCAGTTGGTTCAGCTTACATAATTCCAACGGAAAAATAAGTTTAACAAATTTTCAAACTCAATGGGCACTAAAATATTTGTGCCCAGATCAGCTACTGACAAGATTAGAGATTTCAATGAAAATTTTAAACAACTGGGATCAAGATCTGAATTATTTATTTGATGAATAGTAACAGAAGATGAAATATGGCTTTGCTAGTATGATCCTGAATACAAAGTACAATCAGAGCAATGGCTATTAAGAAGTGTAATTGGTTCAGTCAGAGCAAAAGTGGACCTGTCAAGAGCAAATGCTGTGGCAACAGTGTTTTTTTTGGATGCTCAGGGCATTTGTTTTCTTGACTTTCTGGAGGGTCAAATAACAATAGCATATTCTTATTAGGAGAGTTCTATGAGAAGGTTACCCAAAGCTGTTGTACAACAGCACCCAGAAATCTTCACCAGAGTCCTTCTCCCCATGAAGATGCTCCTGCTTATTTCTTTCATCAAATCAATGCAATTTTGTGAGAGTTTTGATGGGAAATCATTAATCATCCACCTCACAGTTTTAATTTGGCTCCGTCTGATTTCTCTCTGTTTTCTAATCTTAAACATCTGTAAAAAGGCACATATTTTTCTTCAGTTAATAATGTAAAACAACCCTGCATTAACATGCTTAAGTTCCCAGGACACTCAATTATTTGGGGATGAGCTATGTGGATGTTATCATTGCTTAAAAAAGTGCCTTGAACTTGATGGAGCTTATGTTGACAAATAAAATTTATATATTTTTTATTTTTACCTTTTGATTCTATTTTCTATGAACATTTTGAAGTTTGTATGAGTATATGCTTTTATACACATAAGTATGTGTGGGGTGTATGTGTGTGTGTATAACTTTTTAACCTTTTGAAGACTATGCATCATATATCTCTTCTGGGATATACCTTATACCAGATAAATGAGATAAAAATTATTGCTGAATGAATATGGAATGAATTTATACATTTAAATATCAATGCCAATCATTTCAGTGGAAACCTAGTTTAGTCTTTTTAAATGAGTCTAAGTCATTACTATATAAAGAAAAAATCAATCATAATTTATATTCTTACATTATACTTATATAAGAGATATCAATAAAGAAATAGGTGTAACAAAATATGGAGCTTTCATGGCAACTGTATATTTGTCTTGAATATTCTTACCTTTCTTGTCTAGTATATTTCTCCCCAAAATGACTTTAAAAGTCAAATTTCTAACATCCAAATGTATGTTAATAAATATTTTACATGACACTTTGTAAGTGAAAATATATTAAGAGAGTTTTTTTGTAAAATAACCTTGCTCATATCAGTCTTTTCTTACCTTTAACACTGTCAAAGATGACAGCCTCAATTAACGTTGCTCTTTTGACTCAGAAATTGTCAAACATTTCATTTTATCATTTCTACACTTGCCCCTAGACTTAGACATAAAAATGGGCAGCAATAATCATTAAACATGAAAAGCAGAACATTCCCTGTTAATGACAGAATGGCATAGGGTAATAGTAAGAAGGAGCAAGCAAGCAAGTAGATAAATATATTGACAGCTTGCTTTTAATAAATCAACACCCTTGAGCAGTTGCAAGCAAGAACCAGACACTGTGACAGAAGAACATAGTGACAGATGGATTCTGAATAAGCTTTATCCCTCTTCTCTTTTATAAACCAGAAAGGAACAAATGAAAAGAAGAGGAATATGTGTGGATTTCCTGTCTCAAATCGTTACAAAGGCAAATACTCTACCTTAGGAACTTAGTAGACCATGTCAAGTAGTTAGAAAAAACCATATTTGCAGAAGGCAAACACACTTCCATAGATCACCTTCAAAGGAGAATCTGAACACTGAGGATTCCCTTGTCCAATATCTTGACAATAAAAATAATAAATGTTAGTGCTCCTCATTTCATTCCTATATATATAGAGCTTATGGTGAAGGTCGTTATCATGGGGAAAACATCTTTGCTACTTTTGGCCTGTAGACTCTCAGGTTTGTTTGTTTTGTTTTCTATCTTTGGGCTTACAAAATGATGGAAAATATATTACTCAGGCTTTAAAGATGAATAGAATATATCCTAACTGCATTCTGAAACTTCCTAGCTGAGATATCTGAGAAGCTCAACTATATAATGGGGAAAAAGAAATAAAAGGAATCCAAATTGAAAACCAAAAAGTAAAACCATCCCTGTTTAGAGATGACATGATCCTCTACATAGAATATCCTAAGGCCTCTATAACAAAACATGTTAGAACTAATAAATAAATTTAACAAAGTAGAAAGATTCAAAATCAACATAAACTAACTCTATTTATTTACACCAATAATAATCTATCCAAAAAAGGAAATTAAGACAAAATTCCTATTTACAATAATACCAAAATGAATAAGATATTTAGAAATAAATTTAAACAAGAATTTAAAAGTCCTGTAAATGAATAAGACATGTAGAAATAAATTTAAACAGGAATGTAAAAGGCCTGTACACTGGAAACTATAATACATTGATTAAATAAATTGAGGGACAAAAAAATAAAGGGAAAGATAATCAATTTTTATAAATTGGAAGAACTAATATGTTAAAATATCCAGATAGCCCAAAATGATCTACATATTCAATACAAGCCCATCAAAATTGCAATGGCACTTTTCACAGAACATTTTTAAAAAATATAAAATTTGTATAGAATTTTTAAAGACAGAATAGCCAAAGCAATCTTGAGCAAGAAACAAAAAGTTGGAGAAATTACACTAATTTTAAATACAAAGACATAATAATCAAAAGAGTGTGGTACTGACATTAAAAAAAAGACAAATACACCAATAGAACAGAATAGAGGGCCTCAAAATAAACACATGTATTTATGATTTACTACTTTTCCACATGTCCACCAAGAAGATACAGTGGGAAAAAATATAGTCTCTTGAATAAAGGTAGTGGGAAAATCAGATATCCACTTGAAAAGAATGAAACTGGATTTTTATCTTACACCATATGCAATGATCAACTCAAAATGGATTAAAAGCATAAACATATGAACTGAAATAATAAAACTACTAAAAATTAAATAAAAAATATGCTTCTCAGTGTTGGCCTTGACAATGATTTGTTTGGATATGACATCAACAGCACAGACAACAAAAGCAAAAATAAACATGTGGGACTACATCAAGCTAAAAAGCTTCTGCACAGCCTGAGAAACATCAACAAAATAAAAACGTAGCTTATGGATTAGGAAAAAATATTTGCAACCACTTATGTGATAAGGAATTAATATCAACAATATATTATCTGATAAGGGATTAGTATCCAAAATATATAAAAAAAATATAAGGAATATATAAGGAACTCAAACCACTCAATAACAAAAAAATTAAAAATATAAAATAACCCTACTAAAAAACTGGCAAAGGACCTGCATAAAATTGAGACCTAAAAATGGCCAACGGGTAGATTAAAGGGGAGTTTTTTCCTTAGGACAAATCTTACAAAACTCCTCCTTCTTTCTATTGAATTTGTGGTGTCTTCCTTCAAAGCTAGTTTGACAAATTGCTTTTTTTTCTCAGCTTTATTGAGGTATAATTGACAAAAATTATATATAGTCAAGGTGTGCAATGTGATGCTCTGATATGCAAATACATTGTATAATGTTTACCACATTCAAATTAACTAACACATCCACCAAGATACATAGTTACCAGTTTGCATGTGTCTGTGGATGTGTGGTAAGGACACTTACGATTTACTCTCTTGGTAAATTTTAAATATACAATACAGTATTATTAATTAATTATATTAATATTATTAGTATTATTAATAAGTATTATTATTAGTATTATCATTATAGTCACCATGCTGCATATTAGACTCCAAGAACTTACTCATCTTATAACTGAATGTTTGCAGTCCTTGACCAACACCTTCCCATAGTTCTCACCCCACAGTCTTTGCAACCAACTCTCTCCTACTGTGTTTCTGTGAGTTTGACTTTTAATGTATTTCACTGTAGTAGTCAATGTATTAACTAGATAGCTCCCATCTAGTCGGTATACTTTAGTGAGCAACCAGTGCTATATGGATCAAAAGAGCCATTTCAGGGAAAATAAATAAACCCTTTGTGAGTTCCAATTTAACCTTAGCCTAGGAATTAGCAGCTCACTGTATCAATGACATCCATGGCATTACATATAATAAAATTGAAGGCAAATATAAGCAGATAAGTATTTGATGACCTGATTTTGAATGCCATTTTAAGTGATTTTTAAATGATGACCTGATTTTAAATGTGATTTTTAAAATCACATGAAATCCATCATCCTACTTTTTAAGCTTTTTTATTTCCTACCGTGCATTGATATTGAATCCATTCAAATTCTTATACACTAATTATATACCTTTTTCCTTTAGATTAACTAATTTAGCTTAACTTTGATTTTAACAAAAAAAAATTTGGCTTGAGAAATATAGTATATAAATATATCTTCACAGCATAACAGACTTGAACAGACTCTGAGACTCACCTTATTTGAGAAGCCACAAAGCACCGGAAGGACTTTACCAGTAAGGAGACTATATAATGTAAGGGTAGTGTTGTAGCCAATTGACCAATTCAGGATTGCTAAATATTCTTTCTCACTTCTCATAAATTACAGACAAATTAATAAGCAATAGCAATCAGAGACTCACCCAGTAATTCAAATTAGTTTTTTATATCTTATGTGGACTCCAAGGTCATTTCGGAACAACAGCTCACACAAATAAATAAATAATAAAGGATTTGAAAGTTCTTTGTCAAATGGGATTCATTAGTACCATTATTTCTGTAAGAAATAGTACCATTATCTCTTTATGGGTTCAGAAGATTAGTCAGAATATATTTTGCTAATATATTTAGAGTACATATATAGAATATATTTAAAATATTTAGCAATGTAATGTATATATCTGCAGTATTTTACCTATCATACAATCTAAGAAGTAAAGCCATACCTATCACTGTTCTCTGTCTATTGGCCTCTCATGTATTTCCACTGCTTGACTCCTCTGAAACCACTGTCTGAAATTTTCTGTTTATCAATCCATTGCTTACAAAAGTATATATGTTTAATATGCATACATAAGTATATATATTATGTGATATGTAAATACATGCTTTATCATGTAAATGTTATGATATATAATCTATAATATAGGATACATATATCACAAATGAATATGTATAATTTATCATATATATGAAAGTTTGTATTATATATAACAGTATATAACATATGCCATGTATATCACATATAAATTGATATAAAATCTGCTTTATCATCTACACATATTTTATTATATGTACCTTAATGTGTATATATAATATATCATATATACCATATATACATGTGTTTAAATATGTTTATATATATCTGAAGAAATGTAACATTTGTTTTGAATTTATAAAGAGGCTGTCATATTGAATATACTCCTCTAGAACTTGATATTTTCTTACTAGTCACTTACATTCAACAAAGTTTTCTCCCTTTTTTTTTTTGGTAAAATTTACTTCTAGTATCCTTTCTTTATCTTCTTAATTATGCCTATTTTTGAATCATTATACTGTCCCTGTCTTCTATCATTTTTGTGGACCAATTTTGTCATCAATATGTCTACTCTGTAATTTAATAAATAACTTTGGTTTTGTTGTTTACTGTTTCCTGATCTTTTGATTATTTTCTCATTTCCTTTACTTTCTTTCAATTTATTCTATTGTTACTTTCTTAATTCTTAAGTTGAAAACCCAGTCTGTTGATTTGCTGTTATTCTTCTTTCATAGTATAAACATTCAGAGCTTTAGGTTTTATTCAAATCATCAGTTTCACTTACTACACAAATTTTGATGTGATGGATTTTTTGTAATTCCTTTCTACATGGTTTAAAAGTCCATCATTTCTTTAACTCGTATGTTAAATAGAATATATTTAACATTCCAAATATATATTTTACATTAAATTTTCATTATAAACTTCTAATTTAATTTTATTGTGCTCTGAAAATATAGTCTGTATAATACAAATTATTTGAATTTTACATTGCTATATAAAGAATTATGCAATAAATTTATATAAAATTTCCATATGTACTCTAAACTTCCACATTAAGCTCATGAACGTTGTTTAAATCTTTATGTCTTTTCTTCCCCTTCTCCTTTTTCTCCCACCTGACACCTGTCTGCTCTCTCTCTTCCTTCTTCTCTGGTTCAATAATCAATAACTGAGATATACATGAGAGAATCATCCACTGCTATTTTGGTAGACTTTTTAGTTTCTCACTCTTATTTTAATCAATATTTTACTTTTATCTTTATAATTTTGATAGGTCCATCAATATTTGTGATCTTTATCTTTCAGATGAATTTAACATTGTCATTATGTAGTCATTAACATAGCTATATGAATTATTTGCTTAATTAATATTTACCAAATTTTAAATCTTCAGTCTTTCTGTTTTCAGAATTAAATTATATTACTTGTAGAAAGACCATCACTGATTTCTTTTTAAAATAAAATCTGACAATCTTGTATAATTTAAGTATTCTTGTTGTAGATTAATATATCTTCTCAGCACTGTTTCCAGTTATCAATCTCTCTACTCATGAAAATTAAGAAATTCTTCCTATGATATACATTACTGACTTTATATATTAAGTAAACAGATTGTTTTCTTAAAGAAATGTTTATTACTAAAATAGTCACCATTTTCACAGAATACTTTGAGATGATTTGAAATTAATATTCACAAAAATTCTATTTACCTCTACATTTAATGACTATTAGTCAAGTCGTAATTTTACTGTCTATAAGGATTCTTAAGATGTGGGTCTTATTCTCAAGGCATTTATCATCCAGTTAACGTTCTCAATCCATGCAAGTCTCTGAGAAGTCAATCTATTTAAAGTGGATCTTAACAAACTATCATATTAAACACCTGTCTAATCATGTTCTCGTCAACATCATAGCCATCGTTATCAGTATTCACCATCCTTCACTGACTTTTATTGAGCTCACTGCAGTATGAGTGTGTAATGCTATTTATGCTATTAAAATATTTACCATATATACATGTAGGAGAGAAAAAGTGTATCTTTTTCTCACTTGTTGCCAAATTCATGGCTGAGACACCTATAATAAAAGATAAAATAATAAGAGAAATATCAGTTTTATGGGACATGAGAGCCTTCGGAAATGAAGACCCAAATAAATAGATTAGTCTGCATATTTTTATGAGCAATCAGGTAGAAGTATGATTGGAGGACAAAAGGGAATGATCTAATGGTAATACACCGCAGGGAACTGAGCAGTGTATCTGAGTTGGTTCAGATTGTTCTTTGTATCGCGTGGTCTTTAGAGATAAGGACATTCTTTTCCTCTGAATATAGGAGGACCACCTCTGGAATGAGTGTCTATGACCCACTTTAGAGAAAGGTCAAAGAATTCTTTTCTGGCCTACTTCAGGGGAAATTGATAGAAGAAGGTCAGAGAGACTTTCATGCTTCTGTTCATTTCTCAAATTCCTTCAGCTTAAAATACTCAGTATGCCAAGTAGCCATATTTTGAAATATATTTTAAATTTAAAAAGGCATATATTTGAAATTATTATATTTCTGTACACTTTGACTAAAAATAGTCAAAGGCTTTTCATGATTTATTAAGTGAAATGATCGTAGGCAAAAATTCAAATTTCTCCTCAAAATCATGATATGTATTCTGACCAATCTCTCCACTATAGAAATTTATCCTATACCTTCAATATTCCTTAGTGCCTTCCACATCATCCCAAACTCACTGTTATTCATTCTTTTCCATAATTTTAATTATTTATTTAGTACTCCATACACTATGCATTTAATGTAGTAGCTACCATAGTGAGCAAAACAGTTTTGATCCCTAGCCTAATAAAACTTTCAGTTTTGTTAAACATTCTTATTCTAACTCATTCCGTCAAAAATTCTACTACTCTCTTAAGCTATCGTATCAGTAAGATTTTAAGAACTATAAAGAAGAAAATTCAAAAACCATACCCAATTTCTCCTCTAGATATAATCACTATTAAAACCCTAAGCAGTTTTCAAGCTCAATTAAAAGTCAACGATTGCCAAATAAATTGCCCTAAATTCTTTGACCAGGTAAAATATCTCCTTTCTTTTGAATTGTAAAAGCACTTGAAAATTGCCTAATAACACATTATATTTTGTCTTGTATTATAAATATCTATATATTTGTTTTTTATTGTTATCCTAGAATCTTGAGATTTGAGACCTTTTATTTGATACTTAGCAAATAGTACTTATCCTATAAATATTTGTGCAGTTTAAATTACTTGGTGTTGTTTCTCCACTACTTTCTTTATACCACTTTACATACCACTTTATTTAGACTTCAGATATTTGGTCATGAGATAGAAATTGCACAGATTAAAGAGAAAATTCATAAGCATGACTTAAGTATGCATACAATGTGGTTTAGTAGTTAAAACTGTTTCAAGAATCTGACAGTCAATATACAATTTCCAAATGTGTCAAAAATTTCAGATTTTACAGCAAAACCTGTATTTCCTCATATATAAAATAAATATGGTAAACATCTCCCTTATACCATTGTTTTAAGAATTGAATGAGGTTAAGCAGGTAAGAGGCTAGCATGCTTTAAGTATAATACATTATAAAGACAGTTTTTATTATCTTGTTAATTTATTATTTTACATCAAGTCAATTTGGTTTTGTATCATTCAAATATGGATATGTGTGTGTGTGTGTGTGTCAGTATACTTAAAGCACAAGTGGAATTTGTACTGTGTTTGAAATCCATACAGGTTTTTAAGTTGCCTCTGCCAATACTCTCCAGCCAAAGACCGTAAGAAACACTCCACAGGGAATAATGAGGCTTCTCATTTAGGGAATCTTAGAAAGGATGTATAAGATTTAAACTTGTGGTAGGTGATTTGGGAGTGATAGAGGAAGCATAGCTTGCCTATAGTTTATGTGTTGTTCGGAAGCGAGAGTAAATTTAGATTGGGAATAACAATAATGTGTATCTAGAAGGAAAGAGGATTAGAGTGAGGCCAAATGAAATTAGCAAAGAAACAGCTTTCAAGCTATTAACTATCATTTGGTTATTTTTATGCTTAGGAAAATAGTAATGTTTGTTGTTAGTTGTCAGACTTGATTACACAGAGTTTTGTTTTTTTTTTTTCTTATTGATCTATTATGGTCACAGAGTGGCCTTGTTTGATGATATTCTGTGAAATGCCTTATGTTCACCAAGAGAACACCAAGGCATTGAGGGCCAGGCTGACAGCTCTTTGCAACATGAAGGACAAGCAGATTGTACTCAGCCAGGCTGTGGCTCTTAGTGTTGTTTTTCTCTGTTACCTGTCAACAAAACTTCACATATTCATTCCAAAACAGTTAGTTGCTAAGGTAGAAAGTGTAATAACACTGATCAAAACTGGAAACAAATTCTTAACAAATGCAACTTATTTTTTCTTTTCTTTCATGGACTTTATTATAAAATAGTAGGTGTAAACATTGATCAAAATATTCTAAACAACTATGATATTGCACCTGTATCAATTGCTACAAAGGAGAGGTAAATGGTGGTATGGTAACTAACAGAAAGCGAGGTTAGCTAACACTATACTGGAAATTACCAAAGATTTATCAGAGGAAGTCACAACTTATTTGAGATCTAAAAAAAGGAAAAAGAGGTAACAAAGTAAACAAGGAAAGGAACAGTACTCCAGAGAGAGAGAACATATCTAAAAACATCCTGTATCCTGTGTGTCAGCACTGAAGATTGGTGTAAGAAGAAAAAAAGCCATAGGTAGAGTCAAATCATATGTGTATTTGACAGAGGTCCAGATGAGAGGCTAATAATAGCTGAAAAAATGGGATGATGGCCAGAGAGGAAAAAGAAGATAGATACAAGTATATTTAAGCATTAAACATGGATAATATTAAATTGACATATTTAATAACTAATTAGTCAAAATAGAGACTCCTAATTTTTTGATTTGAGGAATTGTGCTTATAGTGTCAATCACTTATTTAGGGAAGAACGATAATGTATCATTTTTAGGAGGAGAGAAAAAAATTAATTCCTGCATAAGATGGAATCTCAAATGGTTTAGAATCAGTTAATCTCATGTGGGCCCCAGAATAAACAGATCTACAACTCATAGAAAATGATAGGGCTAGAGATATGAATTTAAGAATGGACTGTAAATGAAAATTAAATTCATTTTGTGAGTTTTGCCCTTGTTAAATAGGTTTTGCTTATGTGTTGTATTTTAAGATTAGCCTAGGCTGGGCGTGGTGGCTCACGCCTGTAATCCCAGCACTTTGGGAGGCCGAGGCGGGTGGATCTTCTGAGGTCAGGAGTTCGTGACCAGCCTGGCCAACACAGTGAAACCCTGTCTCTACTAAAAATATAAAAAATAAGCTGGGTACGGTGGCAGGCGCCTGTATTCCCAGCTACTAGGGAGGCTGAGGCAGGAGAATCTCTCGAACCTAGGAGGCAGAGATTGCAGTGAGCCGAGATTGTGCCATTGCACTCCAGCCTAGGCAACAAGAGTGAAACTCCATCTCAAAAAAAAAAAAAGGTTAGCCTAAAAATTAAACTGATGTCCTCAGATCTTTAGAGTGAATCTGAAACTCTAAATCAAATAAAGAATTATTAACTTCTGTTTAAGATGTTGGAATAAGATCTCTGGGATCAGGTGAGTGCTAGGAAAAAAAGCTGAAGTTCTCCCAGCACATCATAGTTTATATATTTAATCTGTTAAACCAGATTATGTGGTTTTCAGTGGAAATGTTTTTCTTTGAGGCGAAGACTAACAAAGGTGGTCTAAGGGAACAACCGAGTGTACCGTCTATTGAAACCTCTCCTTTCTTAGGCCTTCTTGCTCGCATTTTTTTCTTCTTCCATGTAAAAGACTTCTGACATTCTTTGTTATTGGTTTTATGATCAGGTCTGTCTTGGTACCTGTAAACAAGAACCATACCAGAAATATATTGGTTGTGTTCACAAGAGTATTGTATTCACAAGAGTCTAGGCATATATACATATATATTTGCAAACTATATATTTGATAAAGAGGCTCAATTTATTCACAGTTATGTAGGCCTAACAGAAAACATGACTGGGGGGGTCCCAGGAAACTTACAATCATAGTGGAAGGTGAAAGGCAACCAGGCAAAACTTACCATGGTGGCAGGAGAGAGAGAAAGTAAAGGGGAAATTGCCACACACATTTAAACCATCAGATCTCATGAGAACTCACTCAGTATCATAAGAACAGACAGGAGGACATCTGACCCTATGATCAGTCACCTCCCACCAGGCCCCACCTCCAATTTGACATGAGATTTGGTTGTGGACACAAATCCAAACACTGTCATTCTGCCTCTGGTGCCTCCAAAACTTCATGTGCTTCTCACATTGCAAAATACTATTATCCCTTCTCAAAGAGTCCCCCTGTCTTAACTCACTTCAGCATTAACTTAAAAGTTCACAGTCCAAAGCCTCATGTGAGCGAGGTAAGTCCCTTCTGCCTGTGAGCCTAGACCATTAAAAAAAAATTAGTTACTTTCAAGATACAATGGGGTTACAGGCAAGCATTGTGTAAATTCTTTCATTTCCCATGGGAGAAATTGGCCAAAACAAAGGGGCTACTAGCTCCATGCAAGTCAAAACCACTCAGGACTGTCATTAAATCTTAAAGTTCCAAAGTAATCTCCTTTGACTCCATGTCTCACATCGAGGGCAAACTGATGCAAGATGTGGGCTCCCTAGGCCTTGTGCAGCTCCATCCCTGTGCCTCTGCAGTGTACACCCCCTGCAGCTGATTTCTCAGGCTGGCATTGAGTGCCTGCATCTTTTCCAGGTGAACAGTGCAAGCTACTGGTGGATCTAGCACTCTAGTGTCTGCAAGATAATTGCCCTCTTCTCACAGCTCCACTAGGCAGTGGGGATTCCACGTGGGGACTCCAACCCCAAATTTCCCCTCTACATTGCCCTTGTAGAGGTTCTCCATGAGGACTCTGCCCTAGCAGCAGACTTCTGCCTGGACATCCAGGCATTTTCATATATCCTCTGAAATCTAGGTGGAAGTTCCCATACCTCAACTTTCCATCCCTGTGCTCCTGCAGGCCCAACACCACGTGGAAGCTGACAAGGCTTGGGGTTTGCACCCTCTAAAGCAACAGCCAGAGCTGTACATTGCCTCCTTTTGGTCACGGCTGAAGTTGGAGTGGCTGGGACCCAGCGCACTATATCCCGAGGCTGCAAAGAGCAGCAGGACCCTCCTGGGTCTGGTCCATGAAATCATGTTTCCCTCCTAGGCCTCCAGGCCTGTGATGGGAGGGGCTACTGCAAAGGTCTCCGAGGCATTTTCCCCACTGTCTTGGTTATTAACATTAGTCTCCACTTTACTTATGTGTTCTGCTGCCAGCTTGAATTCTCCCTAGAAAATTGGTTTTTCTTTTCTACCACATAAGTGGGCTGCAAATTTTTCAAACTCTTATACTCTTCCTCCCTTTTAAATATGAGTTGCAATTTCAGACCTTCTCTTTCTTTATGCAAATGGGCATAGGCTTTTAGGAACAGCAAGGCTACATTTTCAACACTTTGCTGCTTAACAATTTCTTCCACCAGTTACACTAAGTTGCACTAAATCACACTAAATCATGTCTTCAAGTTCAAAAATCAACACATCTTTAGAGCACAGGCACAAAACTGCCAGTTTTTTGTTTGTTTTGCTTTTTTTTTTTTTTTGCTAAAGCATAGCAAGAGTGACTTTTGCTCCAGTTCCCAGTAAGTTCCTCATCTCCACCTCAGCCTGGACTTCTTTGTCCATATCACTATCAGTATTCAAGGTCACAACCATACTCTAGGAAGTTCCAATATTTCCCACATCTTCCTATCTTCTTCTGAGCCCTCATGACTGTTCCAACCTCTGCCTGTTACCCAGTTCCAAAGTTGCTTCCACATTTTCAGGTATCTGTATAGCAATATCCCACTCCTGGTGCCAATATTCTGTATTAGTTATTTCTCACAATGCTATAAAGAAGTACCTGAGACTGGGTAATTTATGAAGAAATTTAATTTACTCAGACTTAACAGTAAGCATTACTGGGAATTTACTCAGACTTAACAGTAAGCATTACTGGGAAGCCTCAGGAAACTTACAATCATGACAGAAGGTGGAGAGAAAGCAGGCATATCTTACAATATGCACGAGAGAGAGAGAGAGAGAGAGAGAGGGAGAGCACACAAAGGGGAAGGTACCATACACTTTTAAACCATCAGATCTCATGAGAACTCACTCACTATCATGAGAACTCACTCACTATCATGAGAACTCACTCACTATCATGAGAACAGCAATGGGAAATCTACCCCCTTAATCCAGTCATCTCCTACCAGGCCCTTCTTCTAATTAGACATGAGATTTGGGCGGTGACACAAATCCAAACGTATCAGTACATGACTACAAGGAATATAGTAGTAAATCAGTTTGTTACCGTATCAGAATAACTTTAAAACAAATGGTTTCTTGTTAGAATTTTTGTTTAAACTAATGATGTAATATTTATTGACTAACAATTTATGACATAGAGAAGCATTCAAATCATTTTTCTTATTCATTTATTTCATTTTTTCATTTTCTGTTTCATTGTTAACGTTTTGATCAGGAATGTGTCATCTATGCTTTTATCTAACTGAAGGATCTATAGTACATTCCCATAATATCCCAGCCATTATTTATGGGCTCTCATTATATTTTTCACACTTAAATTGTTCCTACAGATTACAGGTGACAGCTTCTTCACAAACAATACAATTCATAACTACTTGAGACCAATGGTAACATTGATTTGCCATTTGTTAGTGGAATCCAAAACCTCTAATAATCCATCTATAGTCAGAGCTTTATAAGTAAGATCCTTTTGCCTTGCCCATAAAGTTTTATTTTGGAGGTATAGGGTAATGCCATAATTATTCATTTTTAAAACATTCTCCAAGTGACTCTGGTACACACTCAAGCTTTTGATTAAAAAATAAACTAAAATGAGCCTGCTCTCTCTAGTCTGAATAGTAACATCATATAGAAAAAATATTTATAGTAAATAAACAAAAGTAAACAGAAAGCAACTATGATTCATAAACTAATAATAAGCTACTATTGGCAAAAGTGTACATTTGAGATCTTGAATACTTTTGAATTATTAGGCTCATAGTTCAGTAATAGTTTAAGAGAAAACATGCATTACTAGACTTGAAGAAATGGATGTTTATTTACATTTTAAAAAATACTTTATATTTCAAGTTTTTTTTCCTGATATGATTCTATTTATTGGAGAATATTTACCTTTTTTCTTTTTTTTAATTAGATACTAGCATACTTAAAAACCTTGGCAATTTCTGATGAAATATATTATGCCAAGAAAACTATATTGCCAGTACCAAAAAAGTATTAATTGATTTCCACCTGTATCTTCTAAGATGGACCTTTTAAAATGACTTCTAAAATTCTCTCAGTGTTTTATTAATTGTGCTGTACTTTGGAGTAAAGTTTTAGTTCAGGTAAACTTTTCATTAACAGAAAAGTTAGTCATTTACTACCCAGAAATTTTATAAAGTATGACAATGGATATCCTGGTCTTTTGAGCTTTTGATCTCTGAAACATCTTAGTCTTTTTTTTTTTCCAAAAGGAATGTATGATTATATTGTGGCTACTTTCCTTTGGGTAAAATAAATTGTCAATGGTGGCAAATGCTTTTATGTTCCCAGAAATGTAGCATTTGGATTTAGAAACTGGAGCATGGAGATCATCTTAAATCAAAATAAGTGGTTTTTTGGCAACACTGTGTAGCCAACCAGCTAGTTCTGGCTGCTTTGCCAATACGTTACTTTGAGAAATGCTTGCAATGTTCTAATCAAATATGTACAAAGTTAAATTAGGAAAGTATAGAAAAATTATTACAATTATTGGGAAAAGGAAATAAAGACAACATAATAAAAAGAAGGATCTCAGTTATTTCACTTTAGCTCACCGTATTTTAATAAAAACAGAGATAGACATATGGAGAGATCATTAACTAGTTTTTGATTCATACATATATTAAGAAAATCATATAACTTATAATGGAGATAAAATATGCACACATTAAACAAATCATGATTCAATAGTTAAATAGAGGCCTAAAGTTCCAGTGGTCACAGAACAGTATTTGAACTGAAGAATCATGGAGAGCTTCAAGGAGAATAAGTTATTTGTGGAAGTAAATAATTGGTAGGATTAAGCCAATTGTAACATTGTATGAAAAGAAGGTCTGTGAGCTTCAAAGGTTAAATGTGATGATATCCACAATCTTTTAATTTAGTTTCATTTAGTTTTCTCCATTTATGTGTCAGTGATTTTTAAATAGTTAAAAATCTATTAACTGTGCTGTGTGTAGATGATGATCTTTATTCTCGCATCTAAAAACAATAAATAGGAGGTGCAGGAAAATGCGATATAATGATACATGTGCATCTTAGGGAAAGTCTAAAAAGATGATCCTTGAGTGTTTAGATAATTCTACCTTTTGGAATCAGATTAATATTTAAGTGAATTTACTCAATGCAACCACCAATAAATAAAGATGTGCTATCTCTTGCAATTGAGCAAAACATTTACATTAGAATAATGTCACTCAGAGAATTATTGCTATTCTCACACCAGAGGATAATCTTTTACATTCTTATCACTCAGCACTAATTTTGTTTCAAAAAGATGAACAAATGACATAATTTAACACAGACATCATACTGTCAGCATGCAAGTAACTGGTGAAGGCAAAAAGGAGTATATTTCCTGATAATGGGTAAGTTCCACATTTAGGTATCTAAACCTCGTCAAGATTTTAAGTCTCATTTTGTATGCAGGTAGGAAATTCTAGTGTAGCAGATTTAACATTCTTCTCTAATTTAGTTCAGACTTTGAATTTTCTTCAGAAGAATTGGGTAATTTTTGAAGTGTTTAGCTTTGTAATTATTTTATAAATTATAAAACAAAATTCTGTATTTTTTACAACAATCAGATGAAGCAATATGTGAACATAGAAAAGAGTGATCAGTCACAGATATGAAAAAGAGGTTATCACAAAGACTCTGACTTCAAGGTATTCTCAATAGTCCTATGAACTTCAGCCCATTCATTATCAATTAGTTTCCATATCTAAACATGGCAGATGGCAAATTGTTCTTCAAACAGTAACATATAATAATTTTAAGAGTCAGGGAACAATAACAGCAGAGAAAAAATCTTTGGAAAGGTTTTACAGGCAAGCTGAAGTAGTTTCTGGTTTTGAAAGTTCCATTTATCCATATCAGATGAATCATAATCACACACACACACACACAAATATATCTATCTATCTATCTATATATATACTAGTGAGATACCTATAGATATCTCACTACTCTGCTGCCGGGACCCTGAATTTTTAAGATATTATTTTATTTAATTCACACAAACAGTAAAGTTGGTATTGTCTTTATTTATTTCAAATGTATTTATTTTATATTGACAGATGAAATTGTACGTATTTATCATATGCACCATGGAGTGTATACACATTGTGGAATCATTAAACATAGCTAATTAAAATGAGCATTACCTCACATAGTTATTATTTTCGTTGAGAAGATATGACATCCACTCTCTTAGCATTTTTTAAGTATATAATATATTGTCAACAACTATAGTAAATATGCTATACAATAGATCTCTTAAGCTTATTCCTTCCATCTAACTGTAATTTTATATCCCATGACCAATATCTCCTCAACACTTTACCACCCCTATCACCCCAGACTCTGGTAATAACCATTCTACTATCTACCTCTATGAGATTAACATTTTAAAATTCAACATATAAATGATAGAATGCCACATTTATCTTTCTGTGTCTTGCAATTTTATTTAACGTAATGTCCTGGGATTCATCCATTTTGTCACAAAAGTCAAAATTTTATTTTATTTTATTTATTTATTTTTTTACTGTTGAAGAACATTCCATAGAGTGTATATACCACATTTTCTTTAACAGTTCCTTTGTTGATAGATATTAAGTTGCTTCCATATCTTAGCTATTCTGAATAATGCTGCAATAAACATGAAAATGTAGGTATCTTTTTGACATGTTGATTTTTATTTTGTTTGCATGTAAACTCAGCAGTGGGATTGCTGAATAATACAATAGTTCTATTTTTAATTTTTTGAGGAAACTTTATACAGTTTCCATAATCACCGTACAAATTTACATTCCCACCAACATTGTACAAGGGTTCCTTCTTCTACCGTCATCAACACTTATTTATTGTCTTTCTGATATTAGCCATTCTAATATGTGTGAGGTGATACCTCATAGTGGTTTTGATTTTTCATATCCTTGATGATTAGTAATGTTGAATGTTTTTTATATACCTGTTGGCTATTTGCATGCCTTCTGAAAAATGTCTATTCAGACCTTTTTCCCATTTTTTAAAATCAGGTTGCTTTTTCACTATTGACTTGTGTTTCTTCTATATTTTGGATATTAACCCCTTATCAAACCTATGGCTTGAAAATAATTTCTCCCATTCTGTAGGTTGTTTATTAATTCTGTTGATTGTTTCCTTTGCTGTACAAAAGTTTTTTAGTTTAATGTAATCCCATTTACCTATTTTTGCTTTTGTTGTCTCTGTTTGATATAAAAAAACATTGCCCTGATCAATGTTAGATCTCTTGATCAATGTTAAATCTCAGCTCTGAAACTATGAAACCTCTAGAATGAAACATAGTATTTCCCTCATGTTTCATTCTAGAGGTTTCATAATTTCAGGGCTGAGATTTAAATCTTTAATCCATTTTGAGTTGATGTTTGTATATGATGAGATATAAAGGCCTATTTTCATTCTTCTGCATATGGATATCCAGTGTTCCCAGAACCATTTATTGGAAAAACTGTCCTTTCCCCATTGTGTATTTTTGGCACCTTGTTGAAAATACATTGGCTATAAATACATGGAGTTATTTCTGGTCTCTGTGGTCTGTTCCATGGGTCAATGTGTCTGTTTTTATGTAAGTACCATGCAGTTTTGGTTAATATAGCTTTTAATATATTATGAAGTCTGGTAGTGCGATGGCTTCAGCTTCATCCCTTTTGCTCAAGATCATTTTGGTTATTAGGAAACTTTTATGGTTTCACACAAAGGTTATTTTCTTCTGCTTCTATGAACAATATCACTGATATTTTGATAAGGATTATATTGAATCTACAGATAATTTGGAGTAATATGGATAGCTGAAAACCACTATCCATGAACACAAGGTATCTTTTTATTTATTTGTATGTTCTTCAATCTCTTTCATCAATGTTTTCATAATGTTCAGACAGATATCTGAAAGTAGATCATCTTTTATATCCTTGGATAAATATATTTCTAAATATTTTATCCATGTTGACATTATAATAAATGGGACTGTCATCTAGATTTCTTTTTCACATAGTTCACGTTAGTTTATAGAAATACTATTGATTTTTGTATGTTGATTTTGTAGCCTGAAACTTTACTGAACATGAAAACTAGTTCCAATAGTATTTTTTGGTAGAGTCTCTAGGTTTTCTCTATATAAAATCACATTTTTGGCAACCAGGGACAATTAAAATTTTTCCTTTCCAATATGGATGCCTTTTATTTATTTCTCTTGCCTAATTGTTCTGGCTAGGACCTTTATAGTACATTGAATAGAAGTGGTGAGAGTGGAGATCCTTGTCATTTTCCAGATCTTAGTGGAAAAGATTTCAATTTTTCCCCATTGAGTATGATGTTAGCACAGGGTTTGCTATACATAGCCTTTATTGTCTTGAGGTACAATTCTTGTATACCTACTTGGTTGAAAGCTTTTTTTAATTTTGAAAGAATGTTGAATTTTGTCAATTTTTTTCTGCATCTATTAAAATGATCATATGATTTTGTTCCTCATTCTATTAATATGGTGTATCACATTTACTAATTTGTATAGGTCAAATGATTCCTGAATCACAAGGATGAACCTCACTTGATCATGGTGAATGTTCTTTTGTTTTCAAATCTTTATCATTAATAATTATGGATACATAATAGTTGCACCTATGTATTGGGTACATGTGATATTTTGATAGAAGCATACAATGTGTAATGATCAAATCAGGGTAATTGCAATATCTAGCAATTCAAGCATGTATTTCTTTTTGTTAGAAACATTCCAATTCCACTCTTTTATTTATTTTGAAATATACAATAATTATTGTTGTATATATATAGCAAAACTATATTTGCTCTATTGTGCTAACAAACATGAGATCTCATTTCTGCATTTTTGTACCCATTAACCATCCTTTCATTATCTCTACCTCCCCACTACCCATTCTAGTGACTGGTATCCATCATTCTACTCTCTATTTTTATGAGTTCGGTTTTTTTGGTTTTTGTTTTTATATTCTTTTTTTTGTTTGTTTATTTTTTAGCTCTCATGTATCAGTGAGAGCATGTGATATTTGTCCTTTTACAAATGGATTATTTCACTTACCTCCAGTTCCATCCATGTGGTTGCAAATGACAAGATCTCATTCCTTTTACGGCTGAACAGTACTTCATTGTGTTGATGCACACTAACTGATTCCATATCTTGGCTATTATGAATAGTGCTGCAACAAACATGGAAGTACAGATATCTCTTCAATATGCTGCTTTCCTTTCTTTGGGATATACTCAGCAGTAAGATTGCTGGATCATACGGTAGTTATATTTTTCATTTTTTTTTTTTTTTTTTTTGAGACGGAGTCTCGCTCTGTCGCCCAGGCCGGACTGCGGACTGCAGTGGCGCAATCTCGGCTCACTGCAAGCTCCGCTTCCCGGGTTCACGCCATTCTCCTGCCTCAGCCTCCCGAGTAGCTGGGACTACAGGCGCCCGCCACCGCGCCCGGCTAATTTTTTGTATTTTTAGTAGAGACGGGGTTTCACCTTGTTAGCCAGGATGGTCTCGATCTCCCGACCTCATGATCCACCCGCCTCGGCCTCCCAAAGTGCTGGGATTACAGGCGTGAGCCACCGCGCCCGGCCTATATTTTTCATTTTTAAAAGAACCTTGATACTGTTCTCCATACTGGTTGTACTAATTTACCTTCCAACCAAAACGTGGAAGGGTTTTCCTTTACATCCTTGCTAGCATTGGTTATTGCCTGTCTTTTTTGTGAAAGCCATTTTAAGTGGCATGAGATCATAGCGCATTGTAGTTTTGATTTGCATTTCTCTGATAATTAGTGATGTTGGCAATTTTCTCATATAAATTTTGGACATATCAATTTCTTATTTTGAAAAATGTCAGATTATTTTTATTTCCTATGGAGTTGAGTTCCTTATATATTCTGGTTTTTAATCACTTGTCAGATGGGTTGTTGGGAAATATTTTCTCTCATTCTGTGAGTTTTCCCTTCACTTATTGTTTCCTTTGGTGTGAAGAAGCTTTTTAGCTTGATACAATTCCATTCGTCCAGTTTTGCTTGGTTGTCTGTAATTTTGAAGTGTTACTGAATAAATTTTTGCCCAAACCAATGTCTTGGAGTGTTTCTTCAATGTAAAGAATCAATATTGTTAAAATGTTCATGTTAATCAAAGCAATGTACAGATTCAATGCAATTGCTATCAAAACACCAAGAACATTTTTCATATAAATAGATTAAATAATCCTAAAATGTATATGGATCAACAAAAGACTCAGAACAGCCAAACCATACTGAGTAAAAAGAACAAAATTATAGGCATCACACTACTAGACTTCAAATTATGCTATAAAATTATGTTAACCAAAAGAGCACTGTACTAGCATAAAAACAAACATATAGACTAATGGAACAGAATAGAGATCCCAGGAATAAACCCATGCATTTACAATCAACTTGTTTTTGGTAAAGGTGCCAAATACAAATTCTGGGAAAAAGAAAGCACGTTCAATAAATATTGCTGGAAAAACTGAATATCCATCCCTATGCAGAAAAATAAAACTAGACCCCTATTTCTTCTCATATACAAAAATCAAATAAAAATGGATTAAAGATTTAAATTAAGGACCTGAAACTACCAAACTACTAGAATAGTTATATTTTTGATGTGTTGTTAATTTCTGTTTGCTGATATAAGGAGTTTTGCTTCCATATTCATTAGGGATATTGGCCTGTAATGGTTATTTTGTTGTTGTTGTTGTTTTTCTGGTTTGTTTCATTTTATTTTGTTTTGTAGTGTCATTGACATTGTTTACCAGGGTAATGCTGACCTTATAAAATGAGTTTGGAAGTATTTTCTTATCTTTAAAATTATGAAATAATTTGAAAAGAATGATTTTAGTTGTCTCTTAAATATTTCATAGAATTCAGACGTGAATCCATCTCATTGTGGATTTTTCTTTGATGAGATAATTTTTATTACTGATTAAGTGCTATTATTGTTCTGTTCAGATTCCTTACTGCTTTGTAATTCAATCTTGGTACATTATGTGTTAACAAAATCATCAATTTCTTCTAGATTATTCAATTTGCTGGTGTTTAATTGTTCATCATATTCTCTTTGGTTCTTTCATGCTGCTGAGGTATTAGATGAAAAAGTCTTCTTTTTATTTCTGATTTTACCTATATGAGTCTTCCCTCTTTTTGTCTTAGTATAGCTAAAAGTTTGTCAATTTTGTCTTTTCAAAACACCATCTCTTTGTTTCCTTGATTTTTTTTCATCATTATTTTAGTCTCCAATTGCATTCATTTCTGCTCTGATCTTTATTACTTTATTACTTCTAATAATTTGGCATTTAGTTTGTTCTTATTTTTTCTAGTTCCTTGAGGAACACCATTACATTGTTTATACAATTTTTTTCTTTTATGATGTAGGCATTTTGTCTTTGTCATTTCCCATTAATTATAACAGGATACTAGAAACTGGATAATTTATAAAGAAAATGATTTTTTTTCTCACATTTCAGGAAGTTAGAAAGTCCCAGGTCAAAAGGGTAGATCTGGTGAAGGCCTTTTTTTCTAGTGAATACTATCTGCAGAGTCCAGAGGTGATGTAGGGCATCACAGTGAGAGGGGTGAGCATGCTAGCTCAGGTGTCTCTTCCTCTTATAAAGTCACCAATTCCACTTTCATGATAAACCATTAATTCATTAACCCATCAGTACATTAATCTATAAATAGATTAATCCATTCCTGAGGGCAGAACACTTAGGACTCAATCACTTCGTAAAGAATCCTTCACAATGTTGCCACATTGGGGACAACATTTAGGCATGAGTTTTGAAGGGACCAAATATTCAAAGCATAGAACATTTATTGCTATAAATTTCTCTTTTAACTGTTTCTGTTGCATCCCATGAGTTTTGGTGTGCTGTTTTTTATACTTTCATTTGGCATAAGATATTTTTAAATTTAACTTTTAACTTCTTCATTGGCCTGGTTGTTCAGGATTGTTTGATTTCCATGCATTTGAAAGTTTCCAGAAGTTTCTTTAGCTATATTAGTTTCTAGTTTTATACTTGGTAATATTTCAATTGGCTATTACAAATAGTGCTGCAATAAACATGGAAGTACAGGTATCTCTTTGATGTACTGGTTTCCTTTCTTTGGGATATACTCAGCAGTAAGACTGCTTGTAAGCAAGCTCGGTAAAATTTCAACCTTCTTGAATTCATTAAGACTTGTTTTGTGATGTAACATATGATCTATCCTAGAGAATGTTCATGTGTACTTGAGAAGAATTTGTATTCTGCAGTTGTTGGATAGCATGTTCTGTATATGTCTGTTAGGTGCATTTGGTTTACAGTGTGTTTCAAGTTTGATGTTTTCTCATGGATTTTCTGTCTGGATGATCTATTCATATATGTTGGGTACATATATATTTACTATTGTATATTATTTTGCTGAATTTGCCACTTTATTATTATATGATGACTTTGTTTCTTTTGCAGTTTTCAATTTAATATCTATTTTATCTTACATAAGCGTAGCTACTGTCTCTCTCTTTTGGTTACAATTTACATAGAATGTCTTTTATAATCCTTTCACTTTCAATCTGTGTGTGTTCTTGTCCTTAAAGTTGAAGTGAGTCGCTTGTAGATATTACAGAGTTGAATATTTTTTCATTCCATTCAGCCACTATAAGTTTTTTGATTAGAGAATTTAATCCATTTATATTCAGAATAATTATTGATAGGTACAGGTTTACTACCGCCATTTTATTATTATCTAGTTGTTTTGTAAATCCTTTGTTCCTTTCTTCCTTTCTTACTAAATTCCTTTGTAATTACATGATTTTCTCTAGTGTTATGTTTGGATTTTTTGCTTTTTATTTTTGTGTATCTACTATAGATTTTTACATTGTGGTTACCATAAGGTTTACAAAAAAAATCTTTTAGTTGTAATAGGTTATTCTAAGCTGATGACAACTTAACTTTGATCCCACATGCAAAGAACAACTCTACACTTTTACTTCACTCTGTCCCCCAAATTTTGAATTTCTGATGTCAAAATTTACATATTTTTATAATGCATCCTTCCTGACACATTATTGTAGCTAAAATTATTGGTAATACTTTTGTCTTTAAAACTTTCATACTACAGATATGATTTACATACCACCATGACAGTATTAGAGTATTCTGAATTTTAGTATGTACTTACTTTTACTAGTGAGTTTTACATTTCATTAGCACTCTTTTCATAGCATGAAAAAGAATCTTTTAAGCATTTCTTTTAAGTCATATCTGATGGTGATGAACTCTCTCAGCTTTTGTTTGTTTGGGAAAGTATTTTTTATCTCTCCTTTATTTCTGGAAGATAGTTTTGCTGAATTTAGGATTCTCGGTTGGCAGTTTTGTTTTTGTTTTTGTTTTTTCCTCAGCACTTTGAATATTTCATCTTATTCTCTCCTAGCCTGTATGCGTTTCTCTTATTCTCTCCTAGCCTGTATGCATTCTGCTGAGAAGTCTGCCTTTAGGTCTATTCGAACTCCCTTACGTGTTATTTGCTTTTTGCTTGCTGCTTTCAGTACCCTTTCACTGTTTTTGATCATTGACAATTTGATTATAATGTGTCTTTAGGTAGCCTTATTAGAGACCTTTGGCCTTACTGTACTTGGATAATTATATTTTTCTCCGTGTTGGGAAATTTTTCTGCTATTATGTTTTTAAACTTTCTGGTCCTTTGTTTTTCTTGATGACTTTGACTTAAATATTTGAATTCTTGATGGTACTATAAGTTTCATAAGTTTTTTACATTCCTTTTTATTATTTTTCTTATCAAACTGTATAGATTCAAATAACCTGTCTTGAAGTTCACAGATCTTTTCTTCTACCTGATCAATTCTGCCACTGATGTTCTCTATTGCATTTTTCATTTTGTTCATTTTATGTTTATGCTCTGAGATTTCTGTTTAATTTTATTATTATTTTAATCTCTATTAAATTATTTTTCTGGTAATATATTGTTCTCTATTTATTAAGTTGTTTTTCTATATTTTCTTGAATTTCACTGAGCTTTCTTTTAAAAATTATTTTGAATTTCTTTTCAAACAGTTCATAAATCCCTATGTCTTAGGTTTATCGACTGGCATCTGCATTTTTCTGTTTGGTAATCATGTTTCTGTGATTTGTTTTTGATCCGTGTGATCATGCATTGATGTCTGCACATTTGAGGAAGTCAGTAGTCATTCCAGTCCTCAAAGGCTGTCTTTGTATGGAAATGCCCTTCAACAGTAAGACTATTCAGAGATTTGAACAGGTTGTCTGGCATGGTCCCTGAGCCCAGGACTACTATTGCTGTTGTGGCAATGGGTAGTGCCCTAAGCCGGGGACTGTTACAGCCAGCATTTTTCTGGGCTGGAATCCTTTGGCTACTGAGGCTAGCATAGAGTTTAGACATTTTCAAAGCTCACAGTCACTGAGGCCTGTCTGCTGCTAAACCCAGGGCCACTGTAGTTGCCTGTTGGTGATGCAAGCCAGAAGTCTAGTTTGCCTCATAGGAGATAGAATTTTCTCCCTGGAACTGAGGCAAATCTGAACATTCAGTCTGTGGGTAGTGGCCTGGAGTCACAGGCCTTGGGAGTCTCCTGGTCTGGGTTTTACGGTATTGGGCCTGATGCTAGGATCCAAGACAAAGTCTATGCTCACTTTCCTCTCTTTCCTCTAATTAGACAGTATTTTTCTCTATGCTATGCCACCTGACATTGAGGGAGGGGTGGCATGGGTAATGTAAAACTGTCATTTCTATCCTCTTCAATGTGCCTTATCTTATTATTGTGCTACAATCAAGTACTGTGAACTCTCACTTGGTTTTCTCAGCTCTTGTGAAAATACTTTCATGTGTGGATGGTTATTCAAATTATTGTTTCTGCAGAAGGACAGTTACTATAGTCCTAGTATGTCATCATGCTCCAACATTTTCAAGTATTATCATTAATTTACAGACTTTGTTTGCTGTTATGAAGAATAAATTGCAGGCACTTGATCCAGTCCTCTTGTCTTAGTTAATGGTTGTTCACAAAACATCATATTTTAAAATACATGTGTATTATTAAAATCAATTGTTTGGCCAGGCGCTGTGGCTCACGCCTGTAATCCTGGCATTTTAGGAGACTAAGGCAGATGGATCATGAGGACAGGTGTTCAAGACCAGCCTGGTCAACGTGGTGAAACCCTGTCTGTACTAAAAATACAAAAGTTAGACAGCGCGGTGGCAGGTGCCTGTAATCCCAGCTACTTGGGGAGCTGACACAGGAGAATCGCTTGAACCCAGAGGGCAGATGTTGCAGTGAGCCGAGATCACACCACTGCTCTCCAGCCTGGGTGAGAGAGTGAGACTTTCTCACAAAACAAAACAAAACAAAACAAAACAAAACAAAACAAAACAAAACAAACAAAAAATGTTTTCTAGTATTGGTAACTTTGAAATGATCAAAGTGAATGATTTTAAAATATTGAATTTGTTTTCATCTGATACAATATTATACAGTGTTACAAATATTAAATAATCTGCATGTTGTAAACACTTTTGTGGGATTTTTACATGTCACAGAGTACCTGCAAACATAAATTTGCCTTTATAAAATTAAATAACATTTTGAAAGGCTAATGCTTATATGTACATTTTTTTTCACCTAGGAGTTTAGCATAGGTAATAGCTTCTTTTAAAGCTAAGGCAAAAGTCTAGGAAAATAAGGTAGCACAGTTTTTCAACCTAGAATTTTCAATTTAAAACATATTTTGGAGATAAGTTGAGAAGGCTGAGATTTTTCAAACTACGGGTCAAGAATAGGATTCAACTCATGCTATAGAATTATTCCCTTTAAAACATTAGTAAAGCAATTTAAGAGAAGGTAGGCAGTGCTGGGAAGATAGATGTTATGCCTATGCACTCATATCATAAATTGTGACTAAAAGAAAAATATTTTGTGAGCTATTTGAAGAAGTCTTGAGTAGAGGGTGGCAGCCACTTTGGGCTACACCTTCTAACTGCAGACACTTTTATGGAGCTCATTTTACAGTGGTACAAGTACAAAGGTGGGGTTTGTGAATTCATATCCTGACTGCTGTCCTGAAATACACACACCTGTGGACTGCTTACCTCCCCAACCCCACACCCACCTGCACCCCTGCCATATCATTATGTGTCTTTGGCTGCACTTGCTTTAGCATAAATCCTAGAAATCAAAGATGGGAGTCATGACTTAGCATTATAGAATAACATGTATTACTCCAGGTTGTAGCATCAAATTGCATCAGCTGAATTCTACTCTCACCACCTTTAAATTGGAAACTATGAACAACCTATTTTTTCTAAACAAACTTAAATTGTTTAATCTATAAAATAATTATTATAATAAGTTGTGAAATGTAAATGTGTGAGGTATAAATGAAATAAACTAAAAAAAGTGTTTAGAAGAACATGATACCCAACAAGTGGAAAATAAATGTCACACTTTGTTGTAATTATTTTTATTACTTTTTTATTGATACAAAAAATGTACACATTTATGGGGTGCATTTGTTTTTTGATATATGCATGCAATGTGCAATGATCACATTAGGGTGCTTAAGATATTCACCAACTCGAGCATTTCTTATTACTTTGTATTGGGAACATTTAAAATCTTCTAGGTATTAACTATATTCATCCTACTGTGCTATCGAGCACTAGAGTTTATTCCTTCTATCTAACTGTAAGTTTGTATCCATTAACCAAACTGTCTACATTCCTACCCCTTCTCAGTCTCTAGTAAGTATCATATTATTGTCTGTCTTCATGATCTTCATGAGATCAACATTTTTAATCTCCTACATATGAGTGAAGGATGTGACAACTGTCTTTCTCTGCCAGACTTATTTTGCTTAACATAATGGTCTCTAGTTCCATCCACATTACTGAAAATGATAGGATTTTATTTTATGACTGAATAGTATACTATTGTGTATATATACATAACATTTTCTTTATCCATTTATTTGTTGATGAACATTTAGGTTGATTCTATATCTTGGCTATTGTGAATAGTGTTGCAATGAATATAGGGATGCAGGTATCCCTCTGGAATACTGATTCCCTTTTCTTTAGATAGCCAGTATTGGGACTGCTAGCATGTATGGTATTTCTATTTTCAGTTTTTTGAGAAACTTACATACTGTCTTTCACGAGAGCTATACTAGATTTTTCAATTTCAATTTCAATGTGTTATTGTATACTTGTGCATAATAGTCTCTAATGAGTCTGTATTTCTCCCATTATATAGGCTGTCTCTTCACTCTGTGGATTTGTTTTTCCTGTGCAGATACATTTTCATTTCAGTCACATTTGTCTACTTTTGTTTCTGTTATCTGTACTTTTCAACTCTTACCCATAAAATCTTTGCTTAGACCAATGTTTTGAAGTGTTTCCCCTAGGCTTTTTTCTAATAGTTTTATAGTTTCAGGGTTTATATTTAAGTCTTTAATCCATTTCAATTTTATTTTTGTACATGATGAGATATAGGGGTTTAGTTTCATTTCTCTGCATATGGATATCCAGTTATCTTCACCATTTATTAAAGAGACTTGCTTTTCCTACTGTTTGTTCTTGGTGACTCTGTTGAAAATGAGTTGTTAATGCATGTATTTTTGTTTGGGCTCTCTACTCTGTTTTATTGGTCTATATTTTTGTTTTTATGCCAATACTGCACTAATTGGGTTAACATATAGCTTTGTAATATATTTTGAAATCTGGTTGTGTGATGCCTCCAGCTTTATTATTTTGGCTGAGTATTGCTTTGGCTATTCTGTGTCTATTGTGGTTCAGAAAAAAATTTTAGTTTTTTTTTGCATTGGTATATTGTTGGAGATTTCATTGAATCTATAGACTGCTTTGGGTAGTACAGTCATTTTTAACAATATGAATTATACTAACCCATGATCTTGGATGTCTTTTTATTATTTGTGCCCTCTTCAATTTCTTTCTTCATTGTTTTGTAGTTTTTCTTGTCAAGGTCTTTCACTTTCTTGGTTAAATTTATTCCTAGTTATTTTTTCTTTCTTTCTTTTTCCTTTTTTTTGAAATGGGAGAATACATTTATAAACTATTTATCTGACAAAGCACTAATATCCAGAATATAAAACAAACTCAGTGACTTAAGAGAAACAAAGAAACAGATATCCAATTAAAAACTGGGTAAGTAATCTCTATAGATAATATAATGGTGTTTGTTTTTAGTTCTCCTTTTACTACATGTCAATCTTATATGTAATACAAATTTAATAGAACCATATTGAACACTGGAACTCTGATTAATATAATCAAGATGTGTCCACTAGGTTAGACATAATTCTCAAAGAGGATGCAATTTGTTTTAACTATAACTTAGGAAGAATAACAAAATGATTTGCTGAGATTGACTAAATCTGTTTCCTGAACTGAGAACTAGGTTAATTTCATTACACTCTTCACTGTATTTGGGCATATTTGTACACTACAAACTTGAAAATCTATGGAGTGAGATTCTGAACTTTAGTTTATTCTTGATAACTCATTAATGAAAATATTACAGTAAAAGTGTTTCTTTTAATATAAATTATTGGTTCTAATCATCTCTTTCTCTGAAGAATCCTAATATGAGATCTGTGTATCATGAATATACAAATAGAACATAAAGAAGAATTTTTGAGAACTATTAGCATAGTGTGTCTTTGAAATAAGGTTTCAAGCAAAATAAACGTTGGTTATTAAAAATATTCACTTTTCATCTAATTGATACTCATTTATTATCTTCCTTTTTGACAAACTTAATGTTATATTTTCTATGCATTTCATTTAAAAAATAAAGTGGCCACTTAATTAGGAAGAGAAAAATAATGTCACTTAAATACATTACACTAATCGCTAAAATTCTCTTGTAACAGAATAAACTCTCTAAAATCTACTGTGGATGGCACATTAGCAGACATGAGTTCTCTGATTAATTAAGTCCATTAGAAAAAGGAAATTACTCAATTGTTCATTCAATTGAGTGTGAAGAACATTCTATATAGTTCATACAGGTAAAACACAGGTTTTTATTCTGTACTGTAACACAGAGCTGCTGTAGATTGATCTTAGCACATTATAACCTGTAAAAGGGATTATCCAGGAAACATTTTAAGTAAAACAAAGATGTGACAAATATAGAGCTATGTTGTATGGGTGCATTATATACAGAACTATAACTAAAATTACAGAAAATTTACTTATATATGTATGTATTTATACATTAATTGAAATAAATATAGCTAGTATAATTTTAAATGTGTATATTCATTACTACACTACTAGCTATGTTTATTTTAATAAAGATATACGTGTGTGTCTTCATTGTAATCTGGGCAGTTTATTATAATTATGTCAAGCACATCATTAAGCAATGAAAACAGATAGACATAGTGATTTGATCATGATATTATACCAATCAGAGGTAAAGTTGGAACACAAATTCCAGCTTCTTACTCTAAATTCTGTGTTATTCTGTCATGGAATGTTGTCTGTGTAATAGAATCAAAGACCTTGAAGGGGTCCTTTGAGATCACCTGAGTTAGACTTGTATCTCCCTGCAAATCTAGTTATTCATAACTGACGGTTTCAAGAAAATATCAATGACCTTTATGCTTCTTCTCCCAATGAAAATATCCTTTTCTTTAGCACCAATTCATGTATTTATCTATAGCTCCCAGTGGCAAAAAAGAACAGTAAAGGAAAAAGAGAGAGAGAGAAGAAGGGTTAGAGATAGTAAACATTCCTAAGCATATATTCCCTGACCAACTTTATTTCCTTTATTAATTTCCCTGAGTCTAAATATTTTAAAGAAGAGTCAAGTGTTAAAAATATTATTATATTGTTTTCTGGTCAGTGAACATAATTGTTTCTAATTTTAAAATTATTAATTTTAGAGGCATTTTTATCAAGTTTAGTTAAATATGATCTTTAGTTTGTAGCTTGTATTCTTTAGTTGATTGAGTCTTGTTATACTTTTCTCATTCTTAGTGAGCATTATACTTTTTCATAAAGTCATCAATTATATTTTCTTTGACAAACTACACACTGTTTTGTGGGATAATATTTTCCTCTACCTGGCCTTCTGGAGTTTTCTGTATATTTATTTAGGCAGTGCAACAATAAAAGAGAAATACGCTTCAGGAAAATTTGTAATTTGGGGACACTACTCAATTTCTGTCCATTTAGATCTGAAAAGTATTGGTAAGATAATCTAAGTGATTTTTTTAACTATCTAATATATTAAGACTTCTATTTCATTGGTATTTTTACCAAAGGTAACCGAACATAAGAACATAAGATTTTGCTGAAATTTCAAATATATTTTCTTCCTTGTTTTTTAAAGAGTTGGTAATGAGAGTTTTTCAGAGATTTATCTTTTATATCTTCACATAAAATTTTCAGATCCTGACAATTACATTTTGTGTGGATGACTGAATTTTGTCCTCCTACTAATAACTAATTAAGAAGGAAAACTATTCAATTAAAATAGAGATATCTGACCGTCATCAGCTTAACCACATGAGTGAAATTGGTTTTACTAGCAACAAAGCAACTTTGCACTCTTCACCCCCCGTTATGATACAAAATAAAGTATACACAATCATGTATAATTTATTTTATAAAATAAGTTTAACCCTATATCGAACTTCTAGATTACAGAAAATAGAAAGGATGGGGGAACAAAGCAGACTATGCAAGAATAAAATGCTATGACAACACTAAAAAGGGGAACATCACACTCTGGGGACTGTTGTGGGGTGGGGGGAGGGGGGAGGGATAGCTTTAGGAGATATACCTAATGCTAAATGACCAGTTAATGGGTGCAGCACACCAGCATGGCACATGTATACATATGTAACTAACCTGCACATTGTGCACATGTACCCTAAAACTTAAAGTATAATAAAAAAAAGCGTACATTTTGTATAACTGGCTTGGCTGCTTTACCAAGTTATGTTTTGACTTTATAGTTCCCATAGGAAAATGCTGGCCCCATCCTTCAGGAAATACAAATATCAACAATGGAACATAAAGCATCACATATTCTGTCTGCCTACAACATAGCTAAAGCACAGAGACTATCACAAACATATATATATATATATATGCACACACACACACACACACAGATACACATATAGTCAGTGAGAAAAGAAATAGCAGAGTAAGTCACTAAAACTAGTCTTCTAACAAAATTGTGTCCTTTGCAGCAATGTGGATGCAGCTGGAGGCCGTTATCCTAAGCAAATTAACACAGGAACAGAAAACCAAATACCACATGTTCTCACTTACAAGTGAGAGCTAAACACTAGGTACTCATGGATTTAAAGATGGCAACAATAGAAACTGAGGACTACTAGGGAGGGGGGAAAGGATTGAAAACCTATTGGGCACTACGCTCAATACTTGGGTGACAGGATCATACCACAAATCTAAGCATTATGAAATATACCCGGGTAACAAACATGCACTTGTACCCCCTGAATATAAAATAAAAGTTGAAAAAAATAAAAATAAAACCAGTCTTTTCAAAGAGTTAGCTTTGGATTGAGTGTAATACAGGAGACTCTACTAAGGTGCTAGCAGAGGAGAAGCAGATGTATCAATGAGGGGGCACATCAGAAAGAATGTCTGATCTTTATTGGGTAGTACTGAGAACAGGTCTGAAACCTAGGATTACAGCACTGGCTATTGGAAAAACAAAATGAAGAAACTTGGAAAGTGTGTGAAAATAAACACAATAGTTTTGGGAAGTATTTTTTGTGGGGAATATGAACGCAGATTTTATGTGTAGCTATCATTTGGAGGACTGGATGTAAAAGAAAAGAAGCCCTACAGAATCCTGAGATAATATCGCAGCATTTAGCATTGTTGACCAGACTCCTTAAAGTGTTCATTTATACAAAAACAAAACTCTGTGGGAAAAAAAGCAAGTTTAAACTATGAAGCCAAGTAGAAAATGGGTTGTGAAAAGAGACACTAAGGGTAACAACAATAATTCAATGTCAAATTGGGTAATGACATTATTGACTTTTGTCTCCTTACCCACCTTTGTAACTAAACCATGAGAGTCTACTGTCTTGGGATCAAACAGACACACACACACACACAACAGATATTTACATTAATTTTAGGGTCTCTTTCACTAATAAAATGTAACTAAAACATATCTGCCCATAAGCTTTTTTTTTTTCCCGATACACTCAAGTTTGTTATACTACTTCTTTAAGATTAAATAGCAACCTGTGCATATCTCTTACATAACATTTGCCTGTATTGTAACTCTGGGTTGATACTCTGTGGGCCACGATAGATGATAAACTTCTTGATAAATGGATAAATTATTTAATTCTTAAGTAAAAATTGAAGCAATTTGTAAGTATACAATGCTTTGTAAGGATAAACTTCGTATTCTTACAAAATGCTTCATAATTTTTTTAAAGAAATGGACAGAGCTAGAGTTGTAACAGCTTTTGATTCTTTAACCTTATTTTTGAATGTTGCAAGGTTTTTATAATTATAAAATAAAACTTATTCTGACTTGTTTTGCAGCTGAACATGCATTAATTATTCTTTGTGCTTAATTGGAATGAAATGGTTATGGGCTCTTAAAATGATTCTAGAGTAATATTTTTTAAACAAGCTAACATTTATACTATTTTTTTCAAAAAGATTTATGACAATATTTTAAGCTAGTATTTATCAATTTTTTCTTTGACAGAAGTTTTTAACACTTAACACCATCTGTAATTATTTGCAATTATAATGAATGTCATGTTATAGCATCTTCGTTAGAAAATATGGTTGTTAACAAATAATCACAGTTAAAATTCAAATTCATAAACCTGAAGTTTGTTAGTTCATCTGTGTTTACAGTTATTTTAGTCAGCTTTATTTGGGACCTTAGATTATTATTCCTAAATTATGCAAAACAGGGTTTTTGGGTGATTGTTTGAATTGTGGATTTCTGAATGCAAGGTTTTGAAATGTAGCAATATTTTCATAGTAACATTTAATTCTCTTCTCAAACTTTTACACAGTTCAGAAACTGAAAAAATAGTCTATCTTTTATGAAAATGTAAATATATCCTTTATCTTACACCTATACGAATTTATGAGTCTCTTCTAGAATAAAATATAATAAAATTCCTGAAAGTTTTATTTGGATCAATTGATATAAAAGCAGAAGACTTGTTAAGAAATTTCCATGTCTTTCTGATTTACTAACTTGTACTTTAAATCGTTCAAATCAATGAAATTTACAACAATAGACCAAGCCTCATAATATTTTTACTTATTCTTGAAAGCATTTAAAAATCATAGTTTCTCTTGTAATCTCTAAAACATATTTGTCCTGTTTTGTGTGTGTGTGTGTCTATGTGTGTGTGCATGGTACACACTTATCCACATGCTCACTTGTTTTTTTTAGCACACTATTCCTTACATCACAGATCTTTGTCCTTGACCATTTTCCTTCTTCCTTGGCATCTTTTAGATATTGTTCTAATGGGCGTCATTTAATAGTAAATTACCAGCATTTGCAAATGTCTTTTTTCCCCTTCTCTCTTGAAAGACATTTTTTAAGCTGTCATTTCTACCAGGTTAAGAACAATTAAGGGCTTTTTGGCAGGTTAAGAGCCATTAAGAACTTCTCTTAGTCTTTAATATTGAAATATTTCACTACTATATGTTTAGGTATGGATTATATTATGTTTTTAAATCATGGTTGGTATATGTTGGGTTTCCTGAATCAAAGGTTCATTTCTTTTTTTTTTTTTAATTACAAGTACAGGTTTGTAAATAGGTATACATGTGCGATGGTGGTTTGCTGTACCCATAAACCTGTCACCTACATTAAATATTTCTCCTAATGCTCTCCCTCCCCTTTTCTCCCACCCCCGAACAGGCCCCAGTGTGTGATGTTCCCCTCCCTGGGCCCATATGTTCTCATTGTTGAACACCCACTTATGAGTGAGAAGATGTGGTATTTGGTTTTCTGTTACTGTGTTAGTTTGCTGAGAATGATGGTTTCCAGCTTCATCCCTTTGTAGGGACATGAACTCATTCCTTTTATGGCTGCACAGTATTCCATGGTGTATATGTGGAACAAGTTCCACGTCTTTTTTTTCCAGTCTAACATTGATGGGCATGTGGGTTGGTTCCAAGTCTTTGCTATTGTTAATAGTGCTGCAGTAAACATAAGTGTGCTTGAGTCTTTATAGTAGAATGATGTACAATCCTTTGGGTATATACTCAGTAATGGGATTGCTGGGTCAAATGGTATTTCTAGTTCTAGTTGCTTGAGGAATCGCCACATTGTCTTCCACAATGGTTGAACTAATTTACACTCCTTCCGACAGTGTAAAAGCATTATTATTTCTTCACTTCCTCTCCAGCATCTGTTGATTCCTGACTTTTTAATTATCGCCATTCTAGCTGTCATGAGATGGTATCTCATTGTGGTTTTGACTTGCGTTTCTCTAATGACCAGCGATCATGAGCTTTTTTCATATGTTTTTTGGCCACATAAATGTCTTCTTTTGAAAAGTGTCTGTTCATATACTTCACCCACTTTTTGTTGGGGGTTGTTTTATTTTTATTTTTTTTCTTGTAAATTTATTTAAGTTCCTCGTAGATTCTGGATATTAGCCCTTTGTCAAATGGATATATTGCAAAAATTTGTCCCATACTGTAGTTGCCTGTTCACTCTGATGGTAGTTTCTTTTCTGTGCAGAAGCTCTTTAGTTTAATTAGATCTCATTTGTCAATTTTGGCTTTTGTTGCCATTGCTTTTTATGTTTTAGTCATGAAGTCTTTGCCCATGCCTATGTCCTAAATAGTATTGCCTAGGTTTTCTTCTAGTGATTTTATACTTTTAGGTCTTACATTTAAATATTTAATCCATCTTGAGTTAATTTTTGTATAAGGTGTAAAGAAGGGGTCCAGGTTCAGTTTTCTGCACAGGCTAGCCAGTTTTCCCAACACCATTTATTAAATAGGGAATATTTTCTCCATTGCTTGTTTCCATCAGGTTTGTCAAAGATCATATGGTTGTAGATGTGTGGTGTTATTTCTGAGGTGTGTGTTCTGTTCCTTTGGTCTATATATTTGCTTTGGTACCAATACCATGCTGTTTAGGTTACTGTAGTCTTGTAGTATAATTTGAAGTCAGGTAGCGTGATGCCTCCAGCTTTGCTCTTTTGGCTTAGGATTGTCTTGGATATATGGGCTCTTTTGGTTTCATATAAAATTTAAAATCATTTTTTTTTCTGATTCTGTGGAGAAAGTCAATGGTAGCTTGATGGGAATAGCATTGAACCTATGAATTACTTTGTGCCGTATGGCCATTTTCACGATATTGATTCTTCCTATGCATGAGCGTGGAATGTTTTTCCATTTATTTGTGTCCTTTCTAATTTCCTTGAGCAGTGGCTTGTAGTTCTCCTTGAAAAGGTCCTTCACCTTCCTTGTAATTTGTATTCCTAGGTATTTTATTCTCTTTGTAGTGATTATGAATGGGAGTGTGCTCATGGTTTGCCTCTCTGTTTGTCTGTTATTGGTGTATAGGAATGCTTGTGATTTTTGCATGTTGATTTTCTATCCTGAGACTTTGCTGAAGTTGCTTATCAGCTTAAGGAGTTTTTGGGCTGAGACGATGGGGTTTTCTAAATATACAATCATGCCATCTGCAAACAGAGATAATTTGACTTCCTCTCTTCCTATTTGAATACCCTTTATTTGTTTCTCTTTGCTGATTGCTCTGGCCAGAACTTCCAATACTATGTTGAATAGGAGTGGTGAGAGAGGGCATCCTTGTCTTGTGCCAGTTTTCAACGGAAATGCTTCCAGCTTTTGCCCATTCAGTATGATATTGGCTATGAGTTTGTCATAAATAACTTATTATTTTGAGATATATTCCATTAATACCTAGTTTATGGAAGTTTTTAGCATGAAGGGATGTTGAATTTTATCAAAGGCCTTTTCTGCATCTATTAAGATAATCATGTGGGTTTTGTCATTGGTTCTGTTTATGTGATGGATTACGTTTATTGATTTGCATATATTGAACCAGCCTTGCATCCCAGGGATGAAGCTAACTTGATCGTGGTGGATAAGCTTTTTAATATGCTGCTGGATTCGGTTTGCCAGTATTTTATTGAGGATTTTCACATTGATGTTCATCAGGTATATTGGCCTGAAATTTTCTTTTTTTATGTATGTCTCTGCCACATTTTGGTATCAGGATGATGCTGGCCTTATAAAATGAGTTAGGGAGGAGTCCCTCTTTTTATATTGTTTGGAATAGTTTCAGAAGGAATGGTACCAGCTCCTCTTTGTACCTCTGGTAGAATTCAGCTATGAATCCATTTGGTCCTGGGATTTTTTACTTGGTAGGCTATTAATTACTGCCTCAACTTATGAACTTGTTATTGGTCTATTCAGGGATTTGACTTCTTCCTGGTTTAGTCTTGGGAAGGTGTTTGTGTACAGGAATGTATACATTTCTTTTAGATTTTCTAGTTTATTTGTGTAGAGGTATTTATAGTATTCTCTGATGGTAGTTTGTATTTCTGTGGGATCAGTGGTGATATCCCTCGTATCATTTTTTATTGTGTCTATTTGATTCTTCTCTCTTTTCTTCTTTATTAATCTGGCTAGCCATCTATCTATTTTGTTAATCTTTTTTAAAAAAAATCTCCTGGATTTATTGATTTTTGAAAGGTTTCTTGTGTCTCTACCTCCTTCAGTCTTGCTCTAATCTTAGTTATTTCTTGTCGTCTGCTAGCTTTTGAATTTGTTTCCTCTTGCTTCTCTAGTTCTATTAATTGTGATATTAGGATGTTAATTTTAAAGTTTCCTGCTTTCTCCTGTGGGTATTTAGTGCTATAAATTTCTCTCTAAACACTGCTTTACCTGTTCTCATTGGTTTCAAGGAACTTATTTATTTCTGTCTTAATTTCGTTATTTACCCAGTACTCATTCAGGAGCCGGTTGTTCAGTTCCCGTGTACTTGTGTGGTTTTCAATGAGTTTCTTAATCCTGAGTCCTAATTTGATTGCACTGTGGTCTGAGCGACTATTTGTTATGATTTCCATTCCTCTGCATTTGCTGAGGAGCGTTTTGCTTCCAATTATGTGGTCGATTTTAGAATAACTGCAATGTGGTGCTGAGAAGAACGTATATTCTCTTGATTTGGAGTAGAGAGCTCCGTAGATTTCTATTAGGTCCGCTTGGTCCAGAACTGAGTTCAAGTCCTGGATATCCTTGTTAATTCTCTGTCTCATTGACCTGTCTAATGTTGACAGTGGGGTGTTAAAGTCTCCCGTTATTATTGTGTGGGAGTCTAAGTCTCTTTGTAGTTCTCTAAGAACTTGCTTTATGAATCTGGGTGCTCCTGTGTTGGGTGCATATATATTCAGGATAGTTAGCTCTTCTTGTTGCATTGATTCCTTTATCATTATGTAATGCCCTTCTTTGTCTTTTTTTATCTTTGTTGGTTTAAAGTCTGTTTTATCAGAGACTAGATTGCAACCCCTGCTTTTTTTTTTTTTTCTTTCCATTCACTTGGTAAATCTTCCTCCATCCCTTTATTTTGGGCCTATGAGTGTCTTTGCACATGAAATGTGTCTCCTATATACAGCACACCAATGGGTCTTGACATTTTAACCAATTTGCCAGTCTGTGCCTTTTAATTGGGGCATTTAGCCCATTTACATTTAAGGTTAATATTGTTATGTGTGAGTTTGATCCTGTCATTATGATGCTAGCTAGTTATTTTTCCATTAGTTGATGCGGTTTCTTCATAGTCTAGATGGTCTTTACATTTTGGTTTGTTTTTGCAGTGGCTGGTACCAGTTTTCCTTTTTCATTTTTAGTGCTTCCTTCAGGAGCTCTTGTAAGGCAGGCCTGGTGGTGACAAAATTTCTTAGCATTTGCTTGTCTGTAAAGGACTTTTTTTCTCCTTCACTTATGAGGCTTAGTTTGGCTGATGAAATTCTAGGTTGAAAATCATTTTCTTTAAGAATATTGAATATTGGCCCCTACTTTCTTCTGGCTTGTAGGGTTTCTGGAGAGAGATCCGCTGTTAGTCTGATGGGCTTCCCTTTGTGGGTAACCTGACCTTTCTCTCTGGCTGCCCTTAACATTTTTTCCTTCATTTCAACCTTGGTGAATCTGATGATTATGTGTCTTGGGATTGCTCTTCTCGAGGAGTATCTTTGTGATGTTCTCTCTATTTCCTCAATTTGAATGGTTTCATTCTCCCTGTCACTTTCTGGTACACCAATCAATCTTAGGTTTGGTCTTCTCACATAGTCCCATATTTCTTGGAGGGTTTGTTCATTCCTTTTTGTTCTTTTTTCTCTAATCTTGTCTTCATGCTTTATTTCATTACATTGATCTTCAATCTTGGATATCCTTTATTCTGCTTGATTGATTCAGCTATTGATACTTGTGTATGCTTCACTAAGTTCTCGTACTGTGTTTTTCAGCTCCATCAGGTCATTTATGTTCTTCTCTAAACTGGATATTCTAGTTAGCAATTCCTCTAACATTTTATCAAGTTTCTTAGCTTCCTTGCATTGGGTTAGAACATGCTCGTTTAGGTCAGAGGAGTTTGTTATCACCCACCTTCTGAAGCCTACTTCTGTCAAACTCATTCTCCATCCAGTTTGGTTCCCTTGCTGGCGAGGAGTTGTGATCCTTTTGAGGAGAAGAGGCATTCTGGTTTGTGTAGTTTTCAGGCTTTTTTATTGGTTTTTCCTCATCTTCGTGGATTTATCTAGCTTTGGTCTTTGTTGTTGGTGACCTTCAGATGGAATTTCTGCATGGTCATCCTTTTTGTTGATGTTGATGCTATTGCTTTTTGTTTGTTAATTTTCCTTCTGACAGGCCCTTCTTCTGCAGGTCTGCTGGAGTTTGCTGGGGATCCACTCCAGACCCTGTTTTCCTGGGTATCACCAGCAGAGGGTGCAGAACAGCAAAGATTGCTGCCTGCTCCTTCCCCTGGAAGCTTTGTCCCAGAGGGGAACCCGCCAGATGCCAGCCAGAGCTCTCCTACATGAGGTGTCCTTCGACCCCTGCTGGGACGTGTCTCCTCATCAGGATGCATGAAGGTCAGGGACCCACATGAGGAGGCAGTCTGTCCCTTAGCAGAGTTCCAGTGTGCTGCTGGGAGATCTGCTGCTCTTTTCAGAATTGCCAGGCAGGAATGTTTAAGTCTGCTGAAGCTGCGCCCCTATCTGCCTCTTCCCCCAGGTGCTCTGTCCCAGTGAGATGGGAGTTTTTTCTATGAGTCCCTGACAGGGGCTGCTGCCTTTCTTTCAGAGATGGCCTGCCCAGGGAGGAGGAATCTAGAGAGGCAGTTTGGCTACAGCGGCTTTGTGGTGCTGCAGTGGGCTCCACCCAGTCTGAATATCCTGATGACTTTGTTTACATTGTGAGGGGAAAACTGCCTACTCAAGCCCCAGTAATGGCTGACACCCCTCCCCCCACCAAGCTAGAGTGTCCCAGGCCGACTTCAGACTGCCATGTGGGCAGCGAGAATTTCAAGCCAGTGGATCTGAGTTCGCTGGGCTCCGTGGGGGTGGGATCCGCTGAGCAAGACCACTCGGTTCCCTGACTTCAGCCCTTTTTCCAGGGGAGTGAACGGTCTGTCTTGCTGGAGTCCCAGGCACAACTGTGGTGCAAAAAAACCCTCCTGCAGCTAGCTAAGTGTCTGCCCAAATGGCTGCTCACTTTTGTGCTTGAAACCCAGGGCCCTTGTGGTGTGGCACCGGAGGGAATCTCCTGGTCTGTGGGTTGCAAAGACCAGGAAAAGAGTAGTATCTGGGCTGGATAGCACTGTCCCTCATGGCTTCCCTTGGCTAGGGGAGTTCCCTGACCCCTTGTGCTTCCCCGGTGAGGTGATGCCCCACCCTGCTTCTCTCTCCTTCCACAGGCTGTACCCACTGCCTAACCAGTCCCAATGAGATGAACTGGGTACGTCAGTTGGAAATGCAGAAATCACCCACCCTCTGCACTGGTCTCACTGGGAGCTGCAGACCAGAGCTGTTTCTATACGTCCATCTTGTCCAGGAATCCAGAGGTTCATTTTTTACAATTCTTAAAATGTATCACTTCAAATAGTGTCTCTTCTCCATTTTATATGGTATCATTTTCTATAACTTAAACATATTTAAGTCGGCTTACTGCATTGGCATTGTTTATGTCTCTCTAGCATGGTTGAAATATTTTTGTCTCTCTGACATTCAAGAAAACAATCCTACTGTTGATTTATTATCTATTCATCTATATATAGTCTGCTGTTTACACCATTCATTGAATTTCAAATTCATATTCCCTCCAATGTTTATTTGATGACATTAAGTATTTTTACTTTATATCCTATAATTGTAAAACATAGTATTTGTAGAGCTGTTGGTTTTGTGAAATTCATTTTCTTCTACTGATTTTTGCTTATGTTGGTTTATTTCCATGTAAGGGTGTGTGTGTGTGTGAGAGAGAGAGAGGGAGAGAGATAGAGAGAAGAGATGCATTAAAAATATATAGGAGTATAATAAGGCTTGATGTGAAAGTTATTATAGATAATTTGCACATTTTTTCATTAATATTTACAGGGAGAAGATTTAGACTAAGTCCTTGACTTAGCGGGGTTTGGGGGCTATATCCGATCACACAGGTATTAAAAATTCTAGACAAGTGCCCATTTGCAGGCTGGCTTGTGATTGCAGATTTTGAGGAAATTCCAATGGCCCCCACACACATTTTCTTACCTTGCTTTTTTTTTTTTTTTTTTTTTTTTTTTTTTGTAGAGAATGTTCTGGTTTATGTACTTCTAGAGTGAGTCTTTTGGGAGTGCCATATTTATGCAGGTTCTATTGGTTCTGATTTCCCCATTTTTATTGGACCGCAGGCTTGTCCCCTCTTCCTTAGGTCCTGTAAAAAAGGGAAAATCTAGGCAAATGGGATTTAATACATGTCCCCTGGTCATCTGCCAGCCATGCTTGTACAATTTCTTAGTCACTTTTATATGATTTTTGGCCTCTGAATATTTATCGTTTTGTTATTGTTGTTGTTCAGGGTAACTAAATGGCATACTGCCAAAAACTGACAGCTCCATTTTGATATTGCGTTTATATTCTGCTAGAGTGCTAGAAGACAAGTTCAGCTAAAATCAGTGAAGAAAACCTTATAGCTATTATAGCAGCTGATTTAATATTTATGTTCACTAACTTAACAGTTGAAATTCTTTTTGTCCTCCATCCCTGCTTTTTACAGTATTTGTTAAAGAATTTATTTTTATTTTATTTTTTCACATCCAAAGATAAAACACATGTAAGAATAATTATTCTGAGAGTAGATTAATATTTAAATATAGTGGCTAAAGATCTCTCAAATTATATTTTTATAATACACAGGAACTCCTTACTTATAAGTAAACTCCACTCCACTAAATATGGGAACTTAATAGTCATCTATAAATAGTCTCCTTGGAAATTGTGATTGGCTCAGAGGTAATCATTCAGTGAGAATAATCCATGATACTTTGACAATGTGTACAATGTGTAATTCAAATTATTTAAATATGTTTTAATGCAGAATTACAGAATTATTCAAGCTTAAAAAACACCATTATGCAATTTTTTCTATAAAAACATATGCTTTTTCAATCTTTCTTTCTCTTTTTTCTTTCTTTCTTTCTTCTTTCTTTCTTTCTTTCCTTCTTTCTTTCTCTCTCTCTTTCTTTCTCCTTTCTATTTTGCTTTTCAGTAAAGGTCAGACAGAAGTCCTTAGAATATTTCTAGATATACTTAACCTAAATTTCCCATATACCTAAGAACTTTTTCATCACCCTTCCCCCCAAATTACTGATCAACTTAATGCTGTTTATTTTTGTTCTTTTTTATTGCAAAATCAAGAAATTATGACAATTTCAAATAATAGAATTTGAGGCACCATAAAAATAAATACTACAATTATCTTCAGAAATATTTATTGATAATTCTATATTAGGTATATAACCATTTTAAGAATGAGAAGATTTGAGGTTCCAAGAAAATAAGCCATATTCCTACTGTTGTACTAAAGTAGCTAGAAAAAATAGAAAAAAAATCAGCCCTTTCTGGCTGATTCATCTGGAAGGTATGCTTCACAAAATTCAGTAATGGCAGATATATACAAATTAATTGTAAAGCAATAATCAGTACTGCTAAATTGAAAATGTTATTCCTTTTCTGTGTACTACATTGTCTTCTTTATCACCAATTAGAACCTGATAGAGAAATCAGCATCAAAGTAAAGGGGGGAATAAAAAGCATCGTATTGTCTTCTAAGACAATTTTTCTTTAAGCCATAACTTTATCAAAGATATAATTTACTTTCATTATAAAATAGTCATTTTTATTTTAAAAATCTTTTAAGTCCATTTTGGCATATTTTTAGGAATTTTTATGAATTATACAATATTACTTCCAAAATAGTTTTGAATTTTAGGCATGATATTATTTTTAATTATTTAATATATCTTATGTAAGAACTCCCTTAAAGAATAATAAAAACTTAAATAAAAAAATTTGCATAACCTTAGGCAAATAATTTATTCTCTTTGAGTCTCAATCTTTTCATTTGTAAAACAGTAATACATCTAATTGAAAAATGCCTAATAACATTTCTAAAACTAATTATCTTTATTTTTAAGATGCCTGAATTCCTGTCTTTTGGAATTTTAATTATTAGTGTTGTATGTGGAAAAAAAACAAGATAAATAATATTAAGTCAATAAGTAATTTTTGGGGGAAAAGTCACTAGAAAGACCTTAGTGATGTAAGAAATGTACGTGAAATATTTTCTGAAAAATTATAAGAATCATACAGAACAGGAAGCGTCTATATAGCGCTTACTATAATCATTGAAATTTAAGCATGATGGAATCATAAACTTCAATTTCCACTTTATTTACTTAAAGTTTCTTTCCTTAGATCATTTGAAAAAGAAACATTTTAGAAATAAATAGACAGAGCTATGACTATAGTCATTTACTTTTTGTTGATCACATAATGTACAGCTTTTTGAACCATTTTCTGAAATTGCAAAAATAGAAGCAGTTTTCCATTACGTGCTTGTCAAGATGGGTTTCTGCTATACAATCTTGCATAATTTCATCCAACAAACAGATGAGAAAAATTTTAATCTTTGGTGCTTTACAAAACACTTCTCAAAGAAGAAACTATGCCTTCATTTACGGAATGAAATGGCTAATTTAATTACATGAGACTTTCCTTTTTTTCGTTTTCTATTTTTAACTTACACATTAACATAAAGCCTCCTGAAATTATGGCCTATTTTTTTACAATTCTCATGCAAACTCTTGTTTATGTAAGCTTATATACATAACTTGTGAGTGAATGGCCAGGAAGTTTAATATCGATATGGTTGCTTCATATTTTAATATTGTGGCCCATTTTTACAGCACTAGATTATTGTATTGCTCAACATAGGCACCTAGGCACAAGTGACAATAGCTCACATTTAAACTAAATCTGACATTAGATGAGGAAAATAAGTAGCATAACCTCCAAATTAATATCTGATAGCAATTTCATAATCTTCTTAAAATCCATCTAACTAGTAATCAATATATTTACCATGACAAACAAATATACTCATTATTGGTTGCTCTTTTCATAATACTGACCCTTGATGAATCAGATCTTAATCTTTTTATATAACAGAAGGATGTGAACTTGGAAAAGTCAGGCCAAAATTCCTGTAAACTGATGTAGAAGCAGAAGACATTTCAACAGTGATATAGATTCTAGATTAGAATTAATTGAAAAGAGGGTGAGACTAGTTAAGCTTTTATATTCCTGAGAGAGATGGAAAGAAAATCCAATAATGACAAGGCACAAAATAAAAAATCTCTCTTTCTCTTTAATTTTGCTGAATCTTTAAAATCAGGCATATCCAGTTTTAGAAATGTATGTATGTCATCCAGTTTAAAACCTCCCGGACACTTGAGTATGATTGTCTTGATATTTGTGAAGATATCTGATGGATTGAACTTTCTCATTGTTGGTATAATTGATGTTGTTTAGGTGTTACGGTTTATGTCCTCTGTTGAGGAAAATACTTCTGAATTAAACCATGATTCTTCAGCCTGCTTCATCATTACAAAAAACTGACAAATATTTTCAGAGTAGTTAAAGTCCGGAATCCTTGTAACTGGAGATCTAAACATAACTATATCTCCATGTGTATAAATGCTCTGATCCATATCTATATCCATATTTATAACCGCATCTATTTAGTGAACAGAATGGACTCTCAGTATGACAATCTAGGTCATGAACTTGCTTGACATCCCTCCTCAGCCTGTCACTCTGAATTAGCAATTTTGTAACATTCTTCTTACCATATGACAAGGTAATAAAAAGCAGTGCTCATATGATTAAGTTTTGAACTCTAGATCCAGACTTCTTGAATTTGAAGTCTTCATCTGCCATTTATAATCTTAAACCCTCAGTATTTCATTATCCTCATCAGAGCTAATGATAGTGTTTATCCCCACAGTGTTGTGATGAGAGTGAAATGAATAAGCCCCTTAACTAAAAATGAGCCTATGGTAACTGACATATGTATACACACATAACAATATATGTATATATACACACATAACTGTAACCACAGGCCAATATTCCTGATGAACATACATGCAAAAATTCTCAAGAGAATACTAGCTAACTGAATTGACAAAAGGGACCTGATTAAACTGAAGAGCTTCTGCACAGCAAAAGGAACTGTCAACAGAGTAAACAGACAACCAACAGAATGGGAGAAAATATTTGCAAACTGTGTATCCAATAAAGGTCTACTATCCATAATTTAGAAGTAACTTAACAAGTTAACAAGCAAAAACAAACAACCCTATTAAGAAGTGGGCAAAGGACATGAATAGACACTTCTCAAAGGAAAACATACACACAGCCAACAAACCTATGAAAAAAATGCTCTTCACTAATTGAGACAGGAGGCAGTTAGGGGCTGTTTAGGCAGGTAGAAAGGGAGGGTCTTGGGAGAAGGACAGAGAAGGGCAATGTTCACAGGAACAATCGCAGAATAGCGCCTACACTGCCTCTACAGCTAACAGGAAGAAATGTGGTGAAGAATGTCCTCTTGTGCCAGGAGGTTGTTCAGAAGGGACTGTCCCAACTTAGGCGCAGGTGCAATAAATCAACCTAAATATCCTTAACTTGACCCAGATTATTATGTCATTAACATTACGTTAGCATCATGGTTTTAGTCACCTGTGGGTTTTGCTTAGGCACTCATGGGTAATAACCAAAATGGAGTCACTCTGGGCAACCCCAGTCACGCGCAGATGCAACACTCCTAGGAGGGAACTTTATCCCCTACCATTTGGGCAAACCCACGGAAGACTTCCTGGCTTCTGCCACATAAAAGACACAGAATTCAGAATTCAATACTGTTTCTGGCAACCTGCTTTCAGGCCCTCTCTCTTTGCTGAGAGCATTCCTTTTGCTTAATAAATCCTACTCTAATCACTTTCTGGTGTCCACGTGCCTACTTCTTTGGGGTCATGGTAAAAGAATTTGGACCTAGCTGAATGAGCGACTAAGCAGACTATCAGACGGTAACATAATGATTACAGAAATGCAAATCAAAACCACAATGAGGTACCATCTCACACCCATCAGAATGGCTACTATTGAAAAGTTGAAAAACAGATGTTGGTGAGGTTGTGCAAAAAGGAATACTTATGCACTGCTGTAGGAATGTAAATTAGTTCAGCCACCATGGAAAGCATCGTGGCAATTTCTCAAAGAGCTTAAAACAGAATTACCATTTAAGCCAGCAATCTCCTTATTGGGTATATACCCAAAAGAATATAAACCATTCTACTATAAAAACACGTGCATGTTTGCTCATTGCAGCACTATTTACAATACAAAGACATGGGATCAACCCAAATGCCCGTCAATGGTAGACTGGATGAATAAAATATGGTACATATACACCCTGGAATACTACCCAGGCATAGAAAGCAATAAGATGGAGCTGGAGGCTATTATCCTAAGCGAACTAATGCAGGGACAGAAAACCAAATAGCACATGTCCTCACTTATAAGTGGGAGCTAAACATTAAGCACTTATGGACACAGGTTTACTTGGTGGTGGAGAATGGAAGGAGAGGATCAAAAAACTTACAGATGAAATAATATGTAACACCAAGCCCCTATAACTTGAAATTTACCTCTATAACAAACATGTATATGCACCCCTGAACCTGAAATAAAACTTTAAAAATTAATTATTAAATAAATAAAACATACCACCCATCAGGTCTTCCTTGGAAATAGTAGCTGTTCTTGTGTTTTAATCCCTAAGGGAAATATCTAGCATCTATGTTTGTTGTAACTGATTTGTTCTTTCATTTATTCATACACCTAAGAGACATTACTTTGTAAGAAGTATGACATGATGTGTGTTATATCCATTTCTTTATAATTTATTAAATGTTAAAAAAAAACAGTAGTACATTCCAAACACTTACTATGCTTGGAGGGGAAAGAAAAAAAGGAAAACTTTGATATGATGAATTTCTGACACTTACATTTGATATTAAGAAAAGTACACAACAATCAAAAGGTAAGTCAAAAAACATTAAATTTTGAGATTTAAATATAGTTTCCCCTAATAAAATTTTATAAATTACACTTTCTCTAAGTCTAATATTTCAGCCAATTTTTAAAAAACTAGTGCAATGTTGTATTAGCAATTATTCACCAGTAGTTAACTTTTGCATTACTGCTTAAGTAATTATGTCCTAATGATCACATAGTGTTGACAAATTATTTATTTCCACTTTTTGCTTTTGTTTTCTTTTTCTGGACTGAAAAAGCCATGTAAAGTACCAAAATATTGACTATGATAGTCATGTACATCAATAAGTGTTTCTTCAACTTGAAAAATAATAAGTAAAAAATGAATTACCTGAGAATACTTGAATTCACACTCTGGAATAAAAATAGTGTTGGTTTACTATTATACATCTAAATTCCAAGTAGAAAAATAGATATAAAACCTAATAATGGTCTTTAGAGTTTTTATAATAACTTTGAATCATTTTTTCCAAATGACTCATTAAATTCCTTGGCCAAATGCACATCTAAGAAAAAAATCCTTTGTTTTTCTGCTAATGTCTGCTAAGTTTTGATCTTGTTTTCTTATATTTATGTATGCGATGTTGTTTTTATCACACATAAGTCTAATTGTAATCTCTGTCTCAACATGCACAACTGTTCCAAGCAAGAATGTTTCTTCAGTCTACCACCTCATGTGGTGACTCATGATCAAGTTCCTAAAATTTTTAACATTAGTGATTCATTTAGGTTTGTGACATTTATCAAACAATTTCTTTTATCTTATATAAAATCAATGCCATCAAAATTTTAGAATGCTCCTAATTCATTAAGTACACACTCATCAATCATCTCCTATGCAACAGATATTGCCAGTCTGTGGTGTAACAATCAACATTAAAGTCCCTGCTTTCAAAGAGTTAATTATCTAGTCAGCTATCAGGATGTTCTCGCCTATGGGCTGTTCAGCCAGTAACAGATGAAGATAGACAAGACAGAAACAGAGCGTGACAGATGAAAGGTTAGTAGGGGTGAAGTTAGGATCTCCTGGAAAAAAAGAATGTGTGAATGCATGAACACATGAAATTTACTGATGCTTTAAAGAAACTGAAGTTAGTTCAGCACTACCAAAGTGAAGCTTATATGTAAGTGTGTTTCAAGAAGTATTGGAGAGGTGATTCATAAAAGTTTTGTCTAGATTGTCCTGGACATAAGAGAAAAATAAGGTAGATGGTTGCCTCTGCTAGTGGAATCATTTTAAAAGTATTGTATTAAACAGAGACTAGCCACATATATAGACAGTAAGCAACTAAACAAGCAAATATATAAGCACATTTCATGAAACCTGCCGTGAAGGAAATAGGTTCCTCTAACAGAGGGTAGTAGACTGGAGGAAGAATTGAAGGATCACAAGGATATTATTCAAAGAATTGAGCCTGGCGTTGTGGAAATGGGGAAACTGTCATAGAGAACAAGTAAAAATGCTTTCAGGTGGAGTGGTGGACATAATTTAAGAACTGCTAGAATGTTGCTAGAGTTGCAGGATGACAAGTGACTAGGAGAGTGGCATAGGTTGGAATTTTATATGTTAATATAATTGAGAAAGTTTTTTGAATGTACTCACAAATGGAAAAATAACTTGGTTACTTTTATTTAAAGATAACTAAGTAACATATTTATCATTTATGTAAGAATAGATATATTTATCATTCAACTTTGTCTTACTAAGTATATATTTTCACATCTCTAATTTATATAATTGTTATCCTTAGAAGCTATTCACAGTAAGCCTAAAATATGTCCTGCTTCTATAAATATATCATACTGAATTAGTTTATTTACAGTAGTGACCTGGTAATAGCAACAGATAGGACATTTCTTATTCATTAATTGGTTTATAATTCTTGTATGCTATGTTTATTTCTCCATGTTTTTCTGACTTAAGCAGACGTTAAAGTTTATGATATAAGCAACTAAAACAAAACAAAAACAGAACTTAAAGTACTGGAGCTAGAAAATGGATAAGAACCATTTTTTTGTGATCATGTTGAAAAAAGTCCTTGTCTTTTGGGGATACAGACTGAAATACTTAAAAATGAAATGATAATTATGTTTAAGAGCTTTTTAAGATTATTAGCAGGTCAGGACTGGCCTTGATTCGATAACTTTTGTAACTGAATGATGTGGTTTCATTATTCCACTAAGTCTACATAATATATGCATTTGAAATTCCCCAAAATTAAACTCCTTATTGTACCCCTGGTGTTTAAAAAAAAACAGTATAAAAGAGAAAATAATTGATCATTTTATTGGAAAAAACAGTTGACTAATGAAGCATTGATAAGGTGAACCACAGCTGATAAGTCAGGAGCTGGCCTTAAACTGCAAATATATCCTTAGTGTAGAGCCAGGGAGATTATATGACAAATAAAATTTACTTACTTTCTATAAAAATTTTATAATTTGTTTAGCTGTAGAAAAACAAAGCATAAGTCCAAGTGTCCCTAGTGTTGTTGTGTTTTTTTTAATAATGACTTGAGTAAAATCACTAGTTACCAAGAAACCAAGTATATGGGAGATATTCTCACATCTTCATAGCACTTGTTACATTGCTCTATATTTGTACAGTTCTGAGGTTTGAGATAGCGTTTAATTAGGCTTTTCAGAGGTCAGCTATGTATTCAGACTCCCTGCTGCTCTTATCATGTAAGAATTTCACAATTGTAAATAAACAATACTATTAAAATAATATAAAGGCAAGAAATAGTAGTCAACCTACACAAACCAACTCTAAAAATAAATATGTTAAATTGTTTCAGAGTAAAATTTCTGTTCTAGCCTGTCAACAACTAAAAGCTAGTGTATTTTAATTCTATAAATACTCTTTTATTTTGAAAGCCTACTGACAGTCTTCAGTGATATCTGCACACAGAAATAGCATGTGGTGTTGCTAGGTATCATTAAATGAACAGACCTAGAAATAATATTTATCTTGAGTAAAAATCAACACTTTCACTTTTCCTTCTTTAACTTTTTAATGCATGACTCCAGTCTGACTTTGATAACAGGTCTTGATAATGTATAAACAACTTTAAAACTTTTAAAATTCAGTATGTATATTGTTATTAAATTGTCACCTTAATACAAAATGTATTATTCACATCCCTTTTTGTATTAGCAAAAGTATAAGCCTTTAATTAATTTTCAGAAGTACATATGTCTTTAAAATAAGACTAAAGAGGCCATTGTTATTGAAAAGAAAATTTAGGATAAATTATTTTTGTTTGCAGTAAGTACAAAATTCTGAGCTCTGCTTTTGTTGGTAGGGTAAAATTCCTCAAAATAAATATAAACAAGAAGAAAACCCACCTGATTTCTAGAGAAAAAAACAAGAGAATAAAAAATACAAGGTGTTTAGCGTAGTAGGAAATTGCTACAGGCAGATTCTGTCACAAATTCTCGTAGGTTAACATGGCTCAAATTGCTTGTGCTTTTCCAGCAAGACAGCACCATAAAATCTTCAACAGATAATTCCAAGGTCTGGCAGCATCACAGTCAATTTTAAAACTACCTTTATAAAATCACCGTCTTTACTCATGGTAAAGAATCATGTACTATCTAACTCTTATGGACTTATCAAATAATTAAAAATCTTGTTAACTGTTAAAAGAGAAAATACAAATTGTTCAGTGTAAGGGAAGACACTCCCACACCCTCCCTTTTCTAAAAGCATTTATATTAAGAAAAGTTGTAATTATAAGTTATCCCTGTCTCTGAAATGTATGTGACCTTTTTTAGAGCTAAATAAGCCTCATGTCAGAATTATGATTTCTGAAATGTCTTGCTCAAAGACTTAAGAATTCTCTCCTTGATATGCAATCACCTAGAAAGATAGTACCCCTATCTCACAGTGTCCACGGTAGGGCTGGAGCCTAACTTCTGTGGATGCCTCCCTCTGGGCATCCACATGGAATATGGATATGAAAGAGTTGCAAAACTATTTTTTTGTCATGAAGATATGAGTAGTTTATTTTACCTTTGGATAAAGCCAATTGGTTAACTAAGCTGGTCACCTCAGTTATGAAGTGACTTTAGGCTAAACACTGCATGAAAAATGTGCTGTCAATCCTCTTATCTTGAGAATATGTGTGTAATTTGTTGTTATCTGCTTGGATGTATAGAAAGGTAAAATTTTTGTCTTTGCATTCTCTTAGAGGATTGCCTGTGATGTATATCACATTCTAGTTTAACGTTCATTCAGTAATAAAATTGTTTTTCTTCTATTTTTCTGGAGGAGTTTTTTGCGTTGGGAGATTTTCTTGTTAATTATATTTCACCAACATTAAATATTTCTTTTTAGCATTGTCTATATAGTTAGTTTTCTACAGTATATCTCTCATCCATGCTGCATTTTGAAGTCTTTTGTGCTAATATGTTTTCTATAATCCACATCTAATTGTCTTTCAGATACTAGGGATAATGGTTCTTAATTATCTGGGCACACAGTTAAAGCAGAGGTGTGAAGAGTACAAATCACTGCCTAAGGCAGTGCCGGGAGGCCATACTGTTGCCTCCATCTCTAGTCCCTAGCACTTCTGAAGTTTCAGCCACAGCTAGCTCCTGAGGTGCTCCAGCCACGTCATCTCAGGGACTACTTATTCCAAGTGCAGAAAATCACAGGGCGTTAATTCTACTCCTTTTTTTCTCCTTGCTTTTTATTACCTATTTCTAATTTATTGTTTCTTATGTATAGTATTCTTTGTTTATTAAACTTACTCTATATGATTCTGGGGAGCAACATAGAATATAGATAAATAAGAAATAAATACAATGCTCTGGGCTGAGGATTTGGTCCAAAATAAATATCAGTTCAGCTGTACACATTTCAAATTTTCTAATGAGTTTCCTAACTGATAGATTATGTATTAAACAATTATTCAGTGAAACCATCTTGTTGTTCTAGTTGCTTCATTGCAAAAGATAAATGGCCAAATTAGGTATTGAAATTGTAAGATAGATTATGTATAAAATATATACTATAAGACTGTTCATAGAGTATTTCCTACAGGTTAAATTACATTCAGTATATATTTTGCCTCTTCCTTTAATATTTATTTAATTTCTCAAGTCCTCTGCCTTGTAAATGTGCACATGATCTAACTGTATTAAAATGTGGATACCTGAAATTGAAATTTCAAGAGTTTGGGTATTTTTTTTCCAGAAACTTACATCCTAAAATTATGATCTCTTTTACTCTTATTTTTTTATGCTAATATGTAATAGTATTTAATTTGCTTGTACTATATGCCATGAACTGTTATATTTGCTTTCCATGATTTTAATTTAATTTTCACAATAATCCTATGAAATAGTTACCAACATTATGTTCAATTTTGCAGTAGCAGAACCTGACATATGTCACTGTAAGATACTCAATAAGGTAACACAAACAAAAGGTGGCAGGGCCAGGATTTACACCAAGACTACTCAACACGAGCTTCTGTAACCCGTGCTTTAAAGCACCTAGGGACTTTAGAATAATTGCCAAATAAGCTCTAAGATGTGGAAGTAATAAATATGCATTATTTAGAGTTTAATTTATTATAAAATTGTTAATTATATGTACTATCAACTACATTAGTTAGGCTTAGCATAACATATGAGTCATAAAACTTTTATTATAAGGTTAGTTACTGATATGTTTATACATTCTCTAGATCTAAAAATGGAGATAAATATATTAATAGAATATTTGCCCAAATAATAAGCAATATTATAAATAACATAAATTTTCTACTTACTGCAGCAAGTAATACACTGGCTTTTAAAGAAATGGTCCTTGAAGTGCAATACATGGATCTACCAGGGTTAAGGGGATTGCAAGGTCAAAATCATTTTTATAAAAATTCAACGCTCCATTTATTTTTTCATATTATGTTGACATTGCACTGTTTGTGCAAAACAATAGCTGGTAAAACTGTTGGGGTCTTAGCACTAATAATGGCAGTGGCACCACACTGTATTAGTGGTCATTGTATTTTTTACTGCCATGCATGTTACTTAATGTGATAATATTCGGTATTTATTTTTCCTGATATTTCTTAATTTCTGTAAATTTTTAGATTAGAGTTTTATCTTCTTTTCCTCCTCCAAATCTGCTACTTTACTGGGAGGCAAGGTAAATGGTTTAAAATTGGAATAGTAAGAGTCTCATTATCAGTAAAAATTATTGCCCTATATGTTACTCAGTTTCAAAATTTTGATTATTGCAACTATCAACTTCATGGGATATTCACTTTTTTGTTTTGTTTTGTTTTGTTTTTGTTTTTGCTTTGTTTTGAGACAGGATTTCACTCTCTTGTCCAGGCTAGAGTGCAGTTGTGTGTCCAGCCTCACGCGACATTCTTGAGACTGCTTTCTTGAAGTTTGTAGTAGTTTCTGTTTTGCATTTCCAACCTTAAAATATTTATTACAATACTCGAGAGTTATATAGATGCTGCTAAGAGCGTTTTATACATTCTATTTTTTCCATTTTTGTTTTTATTTAATAATATTTATGAAAAGGTGCCATGTACTTTGTTGGTAGTAGGTAATTTTTAGAAGTTGCGATATGTAACAAGTCTTGACATATTACGACAATTCTAAACAGAGATAAACAGTAGCTGGCAAGAGAGTTTCGTTAATTTTTTGTTTGCATGTACTTTTTAAATATTTTAAGTCTTCTAAAACAGTTGCTAATTACTTTTTGGAGGAGTATGGCATTTATATTTCATAAATTATAAAATATTCCTATGTGGGGCAGATGAATTATGTAGCATATCTTTCTCATTTACTGTAGGCCTTCATTGGCCAACTCCATAACCTGAATCTACTGCTTTGTAGCACATGGATATTTAATGTTTCATGTCTATTGCCCAAACTCCACTCTCATACTTTTCCTTCTCACTATAAGCATATGGAAAAGATCTACAATAGCTTTGATGTATAGGCATATAAATATTGGTTTATACATATTGTAATCATATTCAGCTTGTTTAATCCATGAGATGATTTGTTAATGACAAAAATGAGCTATTATATAAATATTCATTTAACAACTTTTTCAGATAAAATTATAAATTTTTGAAGACAACTTTTTAAATAAAAAGATATATTTAATAATAGCACACTATCATTTGCATTGTAAGAAACTACATTGTATTATAAATCAGATTTCCTAATGACAACATTTTGGGGATACAGTAACATGAAATAAGAGCTTTAAATGTTAATCTTAACAAAAAAATTTCCAAAATGTTATTAAACTTATGGTTTTAATTCGGGGTATGTGTAGGCATTTGCCCTTCTTTCTGACCACGGTTTCAGTTCAATGAATTATTTCTTAATGAAAAAGTATGCAAAATAAAATGTATAGGATAATGAATATATAGAACAGATGGTCTTGCCCGTCTTTTTTTATTTTATATCTTTAAATGGCTTCATGCACTATCAACCCATTTAAAGCACAGAGAGGGGTAACCATTAAACAGTTTTCCATTCTTCTTCACTAATGATACTTAAAGACACTTAATAACATTTGCTAATTGTGTAATGCCTATCCTCCAAAAATAATGTATCAGTAGGGAGTATTTCTGCTTCATTCCTTTTATTTCCAGACAGCATCTAATGAACTGGAATGATCATAATTGGCAGAGTATAATGCATTGGAAAACATTTAAAGAACTAGGAAAGTTCTTTAAATGTCAAAAAATTTACCTTCTCCCTTGGCAAATTAAGCAAGTCAACAGAATTTTTATTAAAATTGAAATAGTTAAAACTTTATGTAAATCTTGCTTTTACCACATTGTACAAAGAATAATAGTCTTACCAAGATGACAACATTTTGCATTATAGTATCATATAACAACTTGTGTTATTTCTAGTGAACACAGTAATATTTTACTAGACAGAATAACATTCATTATTTTTAAATTTTACATCATCAAAAATCTTGAACTTGAATTTTAAATTTCCTTTCATGAAGTGTCCACTAATAAAAGCAAATAAAATATCTGAGGACATGGAATTGCCTTAAAGTAATCAAAATAATAAATATAACATCGATTATAAATTATTACACAGCTGACATTTTTTCTCTTCCAGTTAAAAAGTAGAAAGCAAAATTTTTACAAAACAAACATGAAGTAACAAAGCTTTGTGATACACATTTTAAATCTCTTGTCAAAATGTGCTCAAGTGTATCTCATTTTCATATAAGAATTAATTTAGTGATAATTTATACTAATAAATAATTATAATGTTTCTTGGTGAAAAGTAAATCTCTTGACAAAATTACAACTTTGTTTTTGAACCTTATTTTGTCAAGTGTTAAAGCACAAGTGACCTTTGCAAGGGAAAACAACAATATCCTTCTTATCTTATTAAGATGCTCCTTGGCCGGGTGCGGTAGCTCACGCCTGTAATCCCAGCACTTCGGGTGGGATCACAAGGTCAGGAGATGGAGACCATCCTGGCTAACATGGTGAAACCCCGTCTCTACTAAAAATACAAAAAATTAGGGGCGTGGTGGCAGGTGACTGTAGTCCCAGCTAATCGGGAGGCTAAGGCAGGAAAATGGCGTGAACCCCCGAGGTGGAGCTTGCAGTGAGCCGAGATAGCGCCACCGCACTCCAGCCTGGGCGACAGAGTGAGACTCCGTCTCAAAAAAAAAAAAAAAAAAAAAAAAATGATCCTCATTAGAAAATTCATTTTTCAGCATTTTTTATGTAGAGCTATTAGTAATCATTAATCTAGCACCTCCTTCCATAATGCTATTTTGTGATTACAGTTTATGAGACAGAGTCTATACAGTTTATGAGACAGAGTCTTGCTCTGTCGCCAAGGCTGGGGTGCAGTGGCATGATCTTGGCTCACTGCAACCTCCACCTCCCAGGTTCAAACTATGTGCCTCAGTCTCCCAAGTAGCTGGGACTACAGGCATGTGCTACCATGCTGGCTAATGTGGTTTTGTTTTTTTTGTTTTGTTTTGTTTTTTGGTGTTTTGTTTTGTTTTTTGTTTGTTTTGTATTTTTAGTAGGGGCTTCGCCATGTTGGGCAGGCTCATAATGCACTATTAAAGGAATAGGTAGCACCTTGCTTGTTCAAGGACAACAGAAGACTCCCTCCCCCAATAGGCTAAGATGGAGTCTTATGGAATGTAGCTGAATCAAGGACTTGACTATCCCATCACTTCTACCGTATTTATAGGCTTCTAGAAGCAAATGACAGGTAATGTCTAAACTTGAGGGAATATTATGGAATGCTGCGACTCATTGGGATTCACTTCAGTTGTGTCCTCTACATAGAGTAAGGGATATATTTTCTATGTACATAGAAATCTTTGATTATTTGATGTGACTTATTTCCTACGTGTACCACTGATAAGTAAAGACTTATCTTGTACACCATTCGTGTGATCACAGATTATGAAAATTTTCTTTTCTTCTGATTCAGATAATGATCAGTTTCCTTATAAGTTAAATGCTACTCAATGAGCACTCATAATAGAGGAAAACAAATTTTGTTTTTTCCACAATATTTAAAAGAGATACACAAAACGTAAACGGTAATTCATGTAAAAACGCTTTTAGAGTAGTCCCCCTTATCCGTAGGGGATACACACCAAGACCCTTAATGGATGCCTGAAACTGTGGCTAAACAGTACTGAACTCTATGTATACTGTATTTCTTTGATCCGATAACCAAGATGGCTTCCAAGTAAGCAACAGTTCTACAGTGTGCATATGGTAGATAAAGGAATGATTCACATCCACTGCAGGCTAGAGCAGGAAAAAGTGAGATTTCATTATGCTACTTACAACGGTGTGCAATTTAAAACTTATGAATTAATTATTTTTTGAAATTTCCATTTAATATTTCCAGACTTTTATTGATCTCAGATAACTGAAATCATGGGAAGTAAAACTCAGGAAAAGGGGGGACTGCCATATAAGATTTTTAATAATATTGCTTAAATTTTGTCATAGAAGGTGTCAAGAAAAATTATGTCCTTAAATATAGTTTTTTAAAATTATTATTATTATTATTTTGAGATGGAGTCTCACTCTGTTGCCCAGGCTGGAGTGCAGTGGCGCAATCTCGGTTCACTGCAAGCTCCGCCTCTCCGGTTCACACCATTCTCCTGCCTCAGCCTCCCGAGAAGCTGGGACTACGGGTGCCCACCACCATGCCTGGCTAATTTTTTTTGTATTTTTAGTAGAGACGGGGTTTCACTGTGTTAGCCAGGATGGTCTCGATTTCCTGACCTCGTGATCCACCCGCCTCGGCCTCCGAAAAGTGCTGGGATTACAGGCGTGAGCCACCGCACCCAACCTGAAAATTATTAATTAAATAAATTTGAATTTACTTTAAATGAGTAAATATTTCTTTTTAAATGAAAATTTGAAAATAAATTTAATCTTCTCTAAGCAAATTAAAGAAGAATCTCCCTTTACCTTTATATTTTAAAGTCATAATTTGCTGGAATTTAGTTTTATTGCAAGATGCCCTCCAATGAATTTTCAACATACTAGCGGTTTTTGTATGCAATCCTATATTGATCTCAAATTAGTAATGGTTGCTTGAAATGATGTAATGCATATTAATTCATAAACACATAGATGGTAGTTCTCTAAGAAATTGGAATAACTGGACATAAATCTACTGATTGGAAAGAAGGATACCATTCCAATTTGTCATATAGTTGTGTTGATTTTTTTTATATGAGAGGAGGCAGAGACTCGTACCAAGGAACTCATGGAAAAGTTCAGGGACATTTCTTTGATAAAGCTGATTTTAAGTGATACTTCACTCTAAGAAAACTTATTGCCCTTAATTAATTTTTATTATTTACCTAATAATAAAAGGTAGTCAAAATTATTTTATACTTTCTAAACTATAGTTTTCTCTTAGTATTGTAAAGTTGAGTCCCTGTTTTAATCAAAAGATTAGTTTTCCTTAAGCAAATATTTGCAAAGCATACTCAATGTAGTCACAATACTCAACAATTCCATATGCCTTTAAAAAGCAAGTATATTCTGACATGAGAGACATTAGTTGGAATTCACTAACTACTTATAAACAGCCCATACTTACTGCAATTAACATATATAAAGAAAATAATATTTTAAATGTTTAATGCGACAGCATGTAACATTGTTGAAGAGGAAAAAATGTTAACGTATTTGTAATTGATGTTAGTTTTAACTGATCTTGGAAGAATAGTAAGAGATGCAGAATGTGATGGAAGATCATTGATTAAATTAGATTTTTAGATCTCTGCATTTTTTATTTATTTAAGCTTTAGAATCATTTATCAGTCAACAATGGAATTTTGTTTGTATTATTAAACTTCACCATACTTTTCATAAAAACAAGTTGTAAAAATTCTATTAAAATGTAAATGTCCAAAATTGTGTAGTTATGTTGTCTTCACCAGATGTAGCCTTAGATTTGATGAGTCTAATAAGAAGAAAATTCTAACAATATTTTCAGATTTTATAACTATATGATTTTTTATTATATATTCTGATATCCAGATATAAGTGTTATTTCATGTAAAAATTACTATTAAATAAACCCATAACATTTTATTAAAATTCATTTGTGCCATATGAGGTAAATTATAAGCAAGCCAATAAGACAAAAAAAAACCAGATATAATTTGATTAAAATACTGGGGAGAAAGTTACCTTGAGAAATTGACTCAAACATCACTTGAGAGTTATTTATAACTTGAATGTTTAAATTTGGCCACTCAAAGGAGCTTTTTGTCCAAGAGCTTAAAAAAGGAAAGTTTTTTCTGAAAGTAATCTTCTAATGATTGTGTTATTGACCTTCTTCTATAACATGAGATTTACTTTTACTCCTTTCATGTTTACTTGACCTCTAAAATATCTTTATTTTTCCAATCATATCAGTGTTGATTTTTCCTCCAAAAATCAGTGTGTGGGAACATTGGTGTATTTAACTGAAGTTTGCAAAAATAATTCTATTAATCATTTGATTCATTTGAATACTTATGCACTATTTTAGATTTTCTATACAGAATATATGGGACCACTGTTTCCCAGAAGGAGTCTATATAGACAGAACCCATCAGCAGTTAAGAGTATTTGAATACGTATCAAAGATAAATTAAAATAACCAGGCTGTGTTATTTCCACACCTAGTGGGCAATGTAAGCCTTCTGAAGACTAACCCTATAATACATAACTCTAAACGAAGAATGCTATGAAACAGAATAACTACCTGAAAATTTTGAAGAGTAAACATAAACATGAACACAGTGTAAGAAAATGGAAACTTGGAGAAGCCAGTAGAATGGAGGTGAATTTCTTTATGTTTCTTTCTTCCTCCCTCCTTCTCCCCCTCCCTTCTTTCCCCCCTCTCTCTCTCCTTCCCTCCTTCCCCTCTTCCTCTCTTCCTTTCTTCTTTGCCTTTTTCCTACCTTCCTTCATTCCTCCCTTCTTTTCCAGCTTTTTGCTTTTCTTGGGTAGTAGTTACAGGATGACTATATGGACAGTTAAACTTAATGATTTAAAAACACTACGAATTTTCTGGTTGGAAGAACCAGGAAGATGATTCTAAGCCACCAGGAAAATGAGTCTAAGCAACTGACTAACAATCAGTCAGGGAAGTTTTGGAGGAGAGAGAGCCAGAGAATAGGATTCTATATAATTCCTGTAGGAACACCTCAAGAGTCTCCCCCTAATTCCCCACCCCCACATCCTAGTAGATGCTAAATAAGACCACTTCAAAGTAGGAAAGAGTCCAGCAAAAGGAATCACTCCTAATGGCTTTCATACTATATGACAGAAAGGCCAATTTCCTATTTCCCTCTGTGGTACGTTAAAAAATAGCTGCCCTCTCACCTCCCCTCACCCCAAAGGTATTCACATCAAATCCTGGAACCTCTAATTGTAGCTTATATGGCAAAATATGTGATTAAATTAAGGATCCTGAGAGAAGGAGTTTTTATCTTGAATTATCATGTGAGCCCTAAATGAATCAAATGTATCCTTATAAGAGAAAAGAAGGGAGTTTCGAGAGTAACTCCCAAAAGAATAGAGGATGATAGGAAGTTGGAGGCAGAGCTTGCACTGATGTGGGCTCAAGCAAAGGAATGCTGCCAGCCCCAGAAACTGGAAGAAGCAGGGAATTCAATCTCTCTTGGAGCCTGCCAACACTGATGTTGGACTTCTGTTCCCCCGAACTGTGAGAGAATAAATGTATTTTTATTGTTTTAAGCCACCATGTTTGTAGTAGTTTGTTCCTGCACCACAGGACAAAAATACACTGTCTCTCCAGATGGGGATATCCCCTGTGGAACTATTGCTCCAGGATGATATATAGCACAATAAACAAAAGTTATAATTAAATTTCCTCACTGAAATTTCTACTTAACGCTCTTATTAAATAAGAGTGAAATGGGAAGGAATAACATTTGAATCCCATGACTTTTCTGTAGAAGGCTGTATTACTGTGAATACATTTATGACATTTTATGTTTAATAAGTTTTATTACAATGTTATCTTAGAAGATGATGAAACAATGCAAACACCATTTAAAAACATCAATGTAATGATAATATTTAGGTGGCTTAGGGTATAGAAATATAAGTAAAGAAAAAATTGGTGCCTTTAATTTTAACCAGCTTATTTTTTCAATTTGTGGGTGTTTGGAGAAAACAATGTGATACGGTTTGGCTATGTCCCCACCCAAATCTCATCTTGAGTTGTAGTTCTGATAATTCTCACATGTTGTGGGAGGGACCTAGTGGGAGATAATTGAATCATGGGGGGTGGATATCCTTATGCTGTTCTCATGATAGTGAGTGAGTTCTCATGAGATCTGATGGTTTTATAAGGGCTTGTCCCCCTTTGCTTGGCACTTGTCTGTCCTGCTACCATGTGAAGAAGGACACATTTGCCTCCCATTCCACCATGATTGTAATTTTCCTGAAGGTTACTCAGCCATGTTGAACTCTGAGTCAATTAAAACTCTTTCTTTTGTAAATTACCCAGTCTCAGGCAGTTCTCTATAGCAGCATCAGAACAGACAAATACACACTGTAACCATGTTTCCTCTGCTCTCACACCAACACAACAATCAATACAGAAGACTCTGTGACCAAATGTGGGAGCAGTTTCTTCCCACCACCAAGTGAGCAATCAGTTCTTCAGTGGACACCAGCTAGGCATTCTGTAATTTTTTCTGACACTATCTACCTGGAGATAGTGTCGGATCCCTCAGGTTGATAGCTCAATCCACAAGACTGCCTAACCCCACACCAGGCACAATTTCGGGCCTCCAGGACTTCTGACCTAAGCTTCAAGTTGAGGTTTCCATGACCCCCTCTTTGGGTTTAATTAATTAGCTGGAACGGCTCACAGAAATCAAGAAAACACTTACATTTACAGGTTTATTACAAAGGACACCACAAAGGATGCAAATGAAGAGACACATAGGGCAAGATATGGGGGAAAAGGCATGAGCTTCTATGACCTCCCTGGGAATGTCACCCTCTAGGAACCTCCACATGTTCAGCCATGTGGAAGCTCTCCAAACCCAGTACTTTTGGGTTTTTGTGGACAACCTTGTAGAAATGTAACTGGCCTCCAGGTTGTGGGGTGAGACCCTGGAAGGTCATATGACCAACTATAAGAAAGTCAGGGGAAGATTTGTATAAGGTTAAGGTCACATTTGAAAAGTAAAAGACATTTCCCCAGGTTGTTATCTGCTCCTGCATCTAAAATATTTAAACTACATTAGAGATTTAATATGGTTTTCCTATTGTTCATGACAACTTTTTTTCTCCAGTATATCTAAATTTGTATTCTACTGAAAATGTTATTCCTTTTTACCTAATCTTTTACTATTTCTAAAAAAGTTTTTAGATTTTCTTGTGTTTCTCAGTACACCTTGCTATTACCTGAAAATCTTCTTATTTATATTAATTATTTGTAGTTCTTTGACTATCTGTTGCTTTGACTGGCTTTTCTGGAACAATGTAACATAATGAAATTTTCGGTCCTCTAATTTTGTTTGAATGATTTTTACTGTTTCATCACTATGTAACATGTTTACAATTGCTTTGTAATAAATATTTTATAACACTAAGAATGGATCCTAGTCTTTTAAAATACTATATTATTTAAGAGTTTTCAATGTCAGTTTTATCAGTCTTTTGCAAATTAGGTTAAAAAATGGTAGAATGTTTTGTGATACCGCTTGTTAGAAACATTTAAAAAAATTCATTGAAAACTTCTTTTGACCTAAATATTTGGTGTGGTAATTGGAAATATTTTTTATTCTTGTCTATATATGATTTCTTTACTGTTGAGGTTTTGTGTGTGCATGTATTTTTAATTTTATTTTTAGAAGTTTTAAGTTCACAGAAATATTGAGCAAAACATACAGAGTTCCCATATATCCCTTGTTCCCCGCCTTAGCCTATCCAACTATCAGCATCCTATACCAGAATGATACATTTGTTAAAATCAATGAATCTAACACAGTAACACATTATTATCATCCAGAGTCAATAGTTCACATTACAGTTCACCAGCAGCGTTGTATATTCCGTAGGTTTTGACAAATGTATAATGACATTTATCTAGCATTGTAGTATCATTCAGAACAGTTTTCACTGCCTTAAAAATCCTCTGTGCTCCTGCGAGAGTCTTCTGTCCCTTCCCCCAGAGCAACCACTGAATGTTTTATTTTCTTTGTACTTTTTGCCTTGTCATGTAGTTAAAATCATGCAGTTTATGGATTTTTAAAATGACTTATTTCACTTAGTAATATGCATGTAAATCTCCTCCATGCCTTTTCATTGCTTAGTAACTCATATTTTTTAGTTTCCAGTAATAGTCCATTGTCCGGATGTTCTACACTTTATTTATCCATTCACCTACTAAAGAACATCTTGGTTGGTTTCAAGTTTTGGCAATTATGAATAAAGTTACTATAAACGTCATGTGCAGGCTTTTGTGTGGACATATATTTTCAACTCATTTTAGTAAATACAATGGGGTATGATTACGTGGATCATATGGTCAGAGAATGTTTGTTTAGTTTTGTAAGAAACTGTGGAAGTGTCTTGCAAAGTGGTTTTACCATTTTGCATTCCCACAGCAATTAGGTATTATTGTCAGTGTTTTGGAATTTGACCATTTTAGTAGCTGTGCAGTGGTTTTCACTGTTGTGCTAACTTGCAATTCAGTAATCACATGTGGTGTTGATCATCTTTTCATATGCTTATTTGCCATTTGTATATCTTCTTTGATTAGCTATTTGATCGTTTGCCCATTTTTTAATCCAGTTGTTTATTTTAGCTTTGTAATTTAAATTTTTAGTTTTCTTGGCTTTAGTATTTCCTAAGCTCGCTGCATTGAATGCTTAAATAATTTATTTTGTATTATTATTTCTGTAATAAATTTGAATTTGTATTTTCCTAAATACAACTTTTAATACATCTTGTAACTATTGACAAAAAATTATTTAAATATCCTGCATTTTCACTCTTGATTTTCCTTTACATTTTTTTTTTTTTTTGAGACAAAATTTCTCTCTGGCACCCAGGCTGAAGTGCAGTGGCATGATCATATGGCATGATCAGAGAAGCCTTGATCTCCCAGGCTCAAGCAATCCTCCCACCTCAGCTCTGGAATAGCTGAGACTAGAGGCACATACCACCACACACAGGTAATTCTGTCAATTCATTTTTTTCCAGACATAGGGTCCCACTATTATTTCCAGGCTAGTGTTAAACTCCTAGGCTCAAGCCACCCACCCATCGCAGTCTCCCGAAGTGCCAGGATTACAGGTGTGAGTCATCATGCCTGGTCTTGTCTTTTTGAAAAGATAGGGTTTTTTTGTTTGTTTGTTTTGTGTGTGTGTGTATGTGTGAAAATTTTTAAGTTGATACATAGCACACATACTGAAAGGTACATTACTTTCTGGTAGTGTACTACTCTTGATTTTCAGAGCAACAAATCTGTGAATCCCCAAACAAGTTAAAAATAAAATATTACCTGCAACTCAAAAGCCCAATTCATACCTTCTATTCACTACTCATCACTCCTCCTGAAGGCAAAGCAAAACCCTGACTTTCATGTTATTTTAATTTCCATAGATTAATCCTGCCAAATTTGATGTTATACAATGTTAACTATATTGAATAATTAATCAGATATTGTTTGGTAGATTTGTGAGTTTTATGTATAGAAGCCATTTCCTATTTTAAAAATAATTATGTATAGTATTGTATTATATAATATAAATATAACACTATCCATTTTATAGTTCATGGGCATTTTATTTGTTTTCATTTTTGGCTATTGTGAATATTGAGGTACACATTAATGAGTATATTCTCAAGAATACAAATGTTAGTCATAGGATATGATAATTTTTATTAATCCTGCCAAAAATTTCCCACAGTCTTTGTGTCATTTTATATTTCCACCAGCTGTGAATATTTCTCACTGATACACTGTTTTGCCTTAGTGAAATATTTTTTTATCCCCAAATTTTGAAAATATTCTTTTTATGTTTTCTTCTAGAGAACTTATGTATTTTAAAATTAACATGTGTATGTATAGTCCAAATTTAACAAAAAACATGTAAGGTGTAATGACAAAGTCAGCACCCATTTGTTGTTCTTTTATATGGTGTCTTTGTCTATTTTGTGTTGCTATTATATAATGTTTGTTCATAAAGAAAGGCAGTTTATTGAGCTCACAGTACTGCAGGTTGAGAAATCTAAGGGCATGGCCCTGGCTTCTGGTAAAAGCTCTTATGCTGCATCACAATCATAATGTAATGGAAAGATTCAAAGAGAAAGCGGACATGTATGAAGAGGCCTGCTGGCTTTACAAAAACCACCTCTGGCAGGAAATAATTTATTTCTGTAAAAATCAGTCTCTTGAGAGTGAGATCTCACTGCTGCAAGAACAACACCAAACCATTCATGCGGCTTCTGCTCCCATAACTTAAACACCTTTCACTGAGCTCCATCTCCCAACATTTGCAATGTTGGGTGTATTAGTCTTTTCTCACACTGCTATAAAGAACTACCTGAAACTGGGTAATTTATAAAGAAAAGAGGTTTACATGACTCAAAGTACTGCACACTTAATGGGCAGCATGACAGGGAGGCCTCAGAAAACTTTTAAACCATCAGATCTCATGAGAGATCTTGTTATTATGAGAACCCAAGATCCAATCACCTCCTACCAGGCCCCTCCCCGATAAGTGAGGATTACAATTTGATATGAGATTTGGGTGAGAACACAGAGCCAGACTATATTATTCTCCCTCTGGCACCTCCCAAATCTCCTGTTATTCTCACCTTTTGAAACCATACATGCTTTTCCAACAGTCCCCTCAAATCTTAACTCATTCCAGCATTAACTCAGAAGTCCAAGTCCAAAGTCTCACCTGACACAATGCAAGTCCCTTCTTCCTGTGAGCCTATAAAATCAAAAGCAAGTTACCTACTTCCTAGATACAACGGGGGTACAGGCATTAGATAAATGCTCCCATTACAAAAGGGATAAAATACAATGGGGGTACAGGCATTAGATAAAAGCTCCCATTACAAAGCAGCTGCATGGATCATGCAAGTTCAAAACCCAGTGGTGCAGTCCTTAAATCTTAATGCTCTGAAATAATCTCCTTTGACTCCATCCCTCACATACAGGTCACACTGATGCAAGTGGTGGGCTCCCACAGCCTTGGGTAGCTCTGCCCCTGTGGCTCTGCAGGGTAGAGCCTCATTCCCGGCTGCTTTCATGGGCTGGCATTGAGTGCCTGTGGCTTTTCCAGGTGCATGGTGCAATCTATCAGTGGATCTACAATTCTGGGTTCTGGAAGATAGTGATCCTCTTCTCACAGATCCACTAAGCAGTTCCTCAGTGGTGACTTTGTGTAGTGGCTCTGACTCCACATTTCTCCTCCATATTGCCCTAGTAGAAGCTCTCCATGAGGGCTTTGCCCCTGCAGCAGGCTTCTGCCTGGACATTTAGATGTTTCCGTACATCCTTGAAATGTAGGCAGAGGTCCCTAAACATCAACTCTTGCCTTTTGTGTACCCACAGGCCCTATGCCATGCGGAAGGTGCCAAAGCTTGGGGTTTGTACCTTCTGAAGCAATGGCTCAAGGTGTGCCTTGGTCCCTTTTAGCCACAGCTGAAGCTGGAGTGGCTGGGATGCAAGGTGCCATGTTCTGAGGCTGTACGGAGCATTGGGATCCCGGGCCTGGCCCACAAAACCATTTTTCCCTCCTAGGTTTCTAGGCCTGTGATAGGAGGGGCTTCTGCAAAGGTCTCTGACATGTCCTGGAGACATTTTCCTCATTGTCTTGGCTATTAACATTCAGCTCCTCATTACTTAGGCAAATTTCTGCAACCATCTTGAATTTCTCCCTAGATATTGTATTGTTGCTTTTTTGTTTTGTTTTGTTTTCTTTTCTACCACAGAGTCAGGATGCAAATTTTTCAAACTTTTATACTCTGCTTTTAAATATATGTTCCAATTTCATACCATCTCCTTTCCACATGTATGAGCATTCTCTTTTAGACACAGACAGGTCATGCAATACATATGACTGCATGTTTTTAATCAAAAGCCAGGTTATATCTTGAATGCTTTGATGCTTAGAAATTTGTCTGGCCAGATATCCTAAATCATCTTTTTCAGGTTCAAAGTTCCACAGATACCTAGGGCAAGGGCAAAATGTTGCCAATCTCTTTGCTAAAGCATAGCAAGAATGACCTTTATTCTAGTTCCCAATATTTCTTCATCTCCATCTGAGATGACCTCAGCCTGGACTTTACTTTCCATATCACTACCAGCATTTTGATCAAAATCATTCAACCAGTCTCTAGGAAGACCTTCCCACATGCTCCTGTCTTCTACTGAGCCCTCCAAACTGTTCCAACTTCTGCTCATTACCCAGTTCCAAAGTTGCTTCCACATTTACAAGTATTTTTATAGCAGTGCCCCAGTATTGGTACTAACTTTCTGTGTTAGTCTGTTCTCACACTACTATAAAGAACACCTGAGATTGGGTAATATATGAATAATAGAGGTTTAATTGACTCACAGTTCTGCAGGCTTAACAGGAAGCACCACTAGGAGGCCTTAGGAGACTTACAATCATGGCGGAAGGCGAAGGGGAAGCAAGCACATCCTTACCTTGGCAAGGCAGGAGAGAGAGAGCAAGAGAGGAAGTTCCACACACTTTTAAATCATCAGCTCTCATGAGAATTCACTCACCATCATGAGAACAGCATGGCGGAAATCTGCCCCCATGATCTGGTCATCTCCCAACAGGCGCCTCCCCTGACATGTGGAGATTACAATTTGACATGAGATTTGAATGGGGATACAGAGACAAACCATCTTATTGGGGGTCAAATTTCAGTATGAGTTTTGGTGAGGACAAACAAATCATTTCCAAACGATAGTCTATGGCTATCTAATTAAGTCAGAACCATTTATTTAAATGCTTATTCTTTTTACAGCTGCTTTCTACCACTTTATAATTAATCAAAAGTCTATTTATTTTGGGATCAATTACTGGATTCTATTGGATTGATTTCTTGCACAAATATCCCAATGATATAATTGTTGTAATGTAATGATAAGTATCGAGGTCATCTTACTAAGGTAAGAGAGGAGGAAGGAGGATTAGTCAGGAAGAGGCCATGACACAAACACGATAAAATCTAGACCAACACAATGAGATTATCTGTACTAAAAAGGAATTTCTCTTTTGGAGGGAAAATCTAGATCCTGCTACCCCTATTTTGATTAGTTACTACTGTGCTTAGTTATTTCCTGGTGGCTACTCAGATACAGCACTACCTTTTGTTGAGTCCAACAGTGGATTCTGAAATTATAATGACTAGGGGCTGTAAGTCAACTTCTCTAACCTAGAGAGCAAGTTCTTTCTTGGAAGGAGTAATAAGCATCTCACTTCTAGGGTTGCTGCATGTATTAATGTTTTCTGCCTCCAGAGAAAATTTATGTTTGCCTCTATCAGGTGACTATGTCAGATCACCTTAACCTAATCAGCAGCTGGGAAGATGTCAAGCTGTGCTTCACTAATAATAAGAAGCCATTCATTACAATACAGAACTTTAAGTACTGAAAGAAAAATATAATATTAAAGCAAATATTAGGTTTAGTGAGGCAGTGATGTTGAAAAATAACAATGTTTATTGGCAAAAGAGTTACCCATTGTTACTAATGAAGCAGTGGAAATTCATGACCAGATATTTTCTAGGGCATATTCCATAGACTATTTGAATCTTCCCAATCATCCAAGCTTCCTTACTTAATAGTCTTTAGACTATAAAATTCTTCATAGTCTTCCTATATATCCTTCAGCTCTACTTATCAATTAGCTACCTTAAATGTTCACTTGCTGAAAGGACTTGCTGGACTCAGTTTACACTCTTGGAACAGATTTATTATGGGTTAAGAATACTATACACCAATAGAAAGAAAGGATTTATATTTAAAGGGAATCTTAAGTGTACACTAAAATCGATGCCTGTCATGAACATAAATAGAAAAAATATTTATAGCATATCCAGTTAAATTCAGCAATATATGAAGATGATAGTCCATCATGACCTGCTAGAATTTTTCCTAGTAATGAAGGATTGGTTTAACCTTCAAAAGTAATCAGTACCATTCACATTGAGAGTATAAAGGAGAAAAATTATGAACCCATTAGCATATGGTGGTATTCGGCAAAATATAATGTGTACTCATGAAAAAAATCCTCAGTATACTAAAAAGAAAAAACTTTTTCAATATGATAAAAGATATCTGTATAAACCTACTGCTAACATCAGATACACAGCTCATGTTTTGAACACTCTACCTTTCCTTCTATTAGAAACAAAGCAAGTAGGTCTACCATCAGTCACTGATATTAGATTCAGATTGTACAGGAGGCCTTAACAAATTCAACCAGGAAAGGAAAAAAGTAAAAAGGCATAACAATTTAAAAAGAAAGGGAGAAATGTCTGTCTTACAGCCATATTAGAACTAGTATATTTATTATTATCTACTAGAAGTAATATGTTTAGCAGTGGTACATGTTATAAAAACTTTAGCTGTTTTTAGTAATACCATTTTGAAATATTTCATGACTTTATGTTACTTTGAAAAAACACAACAATGTACACTAAATTAATAAATAATAATCATTTATTAGGCTACTAAAATCTCAATTTTCATTAAATATATGCCCTTTGTTGTATTTAAAAACCAATAATATTTAAACCCATATTCCTATGAAAATGTCCATTATCTCAGATGTTAGATTCTTGGGATAGTTTGAGAAAATATGATTAAAAACCACTCATAAAATTGTAGGAAGAAATGTGAAAAACTTACAAATGTGTGAAACAATTAATTAATTAATATAAAGTGTATTTATGGGGCCCTTGATATACTATCCAAGTTCCTTCAAATACAGAAAAAGAAACATAAAAGTTGACAACATTTGACCAAACTTAATAAATAGGTGAAAAAATTAGAATCATCAAAAAAATGAAGACAAAATTAGAGAGAGAATAAGTGTAAATTGATTTTGTTCACAATTGGCAAAATAGTAAAGAGAATAGAAAATGGAAATTTAAAAAGTGAGCAAAAGAAAATGAATAAAAGATAAAATGGACCATAGACAAAATTATAAAGTCTATAATTTGGGACAGAGGTGGAGGAGATCCTATGGCATTGCTCAGTTACCCCTGGGACAATAGACATTAGAATAATAATTAGCTCTATTTGTTAAAACAGACAAATGTCAACACCTCAAGCATTATATAACGTGTTTATTTTTTCCTAATAAAAGTTACTTGCCTTTATTTGGAGTTATACCCTCTATGTCATCTGACCATCAAAATTACCATTGTAGGAGAAAAGAGAAATAGCTGAGGCACCACTGCACACAAAGCTACGTGACAGAACAAGACCCTGTCTCAAAAACAAACAAAAAAACCAATAACCAAAGAAACAAACACAAAAGGGATGTTATAGAAAATTAAATCTGAATGATCAATAAACATGAAAAATGGAGGTGGGGAAATGGAAATTAAATAGCAAGAAGCTATTACTTTATATATATCTTGCAGCCAAAATTATTATAATAATTAGTCATCATCATCATCTGGTAATATTTATCGCTTTGTTTACAAAAGGAAATGAGCAGAATCATATATAACTGGAGAATATATGAGTAATTACACCTTTACTTATTCCTTATGTTTTTGTTACTACTTTAGAAAATTAATCTGGAATTCCAGTACTTTTTGAAGTACTTGAAACCAATTCCATAAAATAAAACCTTTCATACATAAGAATTATGAATATTAAAATAGTTAAATTAGGGTATTTTAAAAACATAAAAAGCCTTAAAACTAACAATGCAGATTTATTCCTAATAACTTGGAGAAAATTTCATAATTTGCTATTTAGTAAGAAAACCAAAATTAATTAAAATGCTAAGATCACAGTTATATATTTATATACAAATATCCATCATCTATACATCACAAAATAAAATTTAAAATAAAAAGAGTAATATGTACACAACACCTTCAAATATGTATCCAATAGATTAGACATAAATGAACAAATAGCCTTTCAGTTTCTTAATTGTGAAATAGAAAGGTGACTTAAAATATATTTGAAATAACATGGCTGAAATCATTACTTAGTTTCATATTACTCTATGGATATATGTGTTAGACTTTGAAAATATTGTACCCTTTTGCTCTTTGTAAAAACTGACAAAGTAGAAGTTTTGAATATTTATTTATATCCAGCAGCTTTAGAAATAGTATGTACATTGTGTTTACAGAAAATTAATATTCATCCAGATACATAAACATTCAGTTGAAATGGTACAAAATTCAAACATTGTGAGTATAACTTCCTCTTCTGATTCAAGAGTTAAATTATTTTGTTGAAATGCCTAGTATTTGAAAACCAGTACAATATTTTAGTTCTGAGTATTTGTGAAGAACCTTGGTTGAAGAGTCATGGAGAAAAATAAAGAAAGAGAAAACTGACATTTTTGTTCTCACTTGCCAAAGGTATTTTACAAACCTAAGAGCTACAGATGATTTAAAGTTTAATATTTTTGACTATATATTTAAAAATGTAATTCCTTTGTTTTTCTCTGCTCTTCATAAGATTTGTTTTCACAATCCACATTTGTTTCAATACTACAAGTTTTGTATTAAACTTTAGGGCAGTGGAATAAAATTGTTACAGGTTTTGTAATTAGCTGTGGTTGTAAAAGTCAGACATTCCGAAGGCAGAACTCACTGTCAGAGTGAACATCTGATGAAAGCCCAAATGCACTTGCAGAATAAATATGTTGCTGTAGCAACCAGTCCTCATTTGCTACCAGCAGAAGAAAAACAAACAGAAAATGAGTAAAATGCCTCACGCTTCAATTTAAAAACACAGGTATTCCATATGAAATTATGGATAAAATTTTTAAATTCAACATTTTAACTAACAATAAGTGATAGCAACTGTTATACTGTATTTTAAAATAAACCCATCAGAAGTAGGAAATATAAAATAATGTCTAAGCCTCTGAAAGTACAAATTTTGGGGCAAAAGAAATTTGCTTACTTTTAACATCAGTTTATTTTGTTTTATCTTCTCATAAAACATTTTTCTCTGAGATTAGTTGTTGCTTCCCTGGAGGTTAAATATCACCACTGATATAGTATATTGATACATGTTCTTCCATATCAAAAAACATTTCATAAGCATCTTCGGGAGGACTAGAGCAAAATGGAGCCTGTCTTAGTTTGGGCTGCTATAACAAAACTATCATAGACCGAGTAGCTCATGAACAACAGACATTTATTTCTTACAGTTCTGAAGGCTGAGAAGTCCAAGATGAAGGCTGAGAGGTCCAAGATCAAGGCTCAGTCAGATTGGTTGTCTAATGAGGACCCGTTTCCTTAGAGATGACACCTGCTAGCTATGTCCCAGAAAGTGAAAGGGGCAAATGAATGGGTGCTAATTCCATTCATTTGGGCTACACCACCATGAGGTAATTGCTTCCAAAAGGTCCTCTTAATACCATCACATTGTGGGTTAGATTTCAACGCATGAATTTTGGGAGAACAAAACCTTTAGACCATACTAGGAGCTTTCTTGAATGACAGACAAGGTTCCTGGCTTCTAGCAATGCAATAAATCTCATGTGAATTAAAGATGTTGAAAGAACAGAATGAAATGTGGTACAAATACAGTAAAATAAGCTTTATGACTATCACAGACAGTATTGTAAATGTAAATATTAGGTGTCGATTTGGCTGGATTAAGAAATAGCTAGATAACTGGTAAAGCATTACTTCCAGGTGTATCTGTGAGGGTGTTTCTAGAAGAGACTGGCTTGTAAGTCAGTGGACTGAGTGAGATAGATTGGCCTTCAGTGTGGGTGGGCACCATCCAATCACCTGGAGGTCTGGATAGAAACAAACAAACAAAAAAATCAGTGAAAATATTTTTTTCTCTCTCTCTCCTGAAGCTGAGACACCTTCCTCCTGTCATCCTTGGACATCAGAACTCTGGGCTCTCTGGCCTTGGGAATCCAGGACTTAAACCCACAGCCCCCATAGTTCTCAGACGTTCAGCCTCAAACTGAGAATTACATTATTAGCTTCTTTGGTTCTGAATCTTTTGAACTTAAACTGTGTGCAGTTTGCTACTGGTATCCCAGTGTCTCCAGCTTGCAGATGGACTGTTATGGAACTCCTGAGCATCCATAATTGTGTGAGACAATTCTCCTAGTAAATCTCCTCTTATATATCTATATCTATATCTATATCTATCTATTGGTTTTGTCTCTCTGGAAAGCCCTAATACAACTAACACAAAATCAAAGTGCATTTCAGAAAGGTAGGCCTAAAAAGCACATATTTAGAGTGAAGTGAGAGGGGACCCACAATATGAAATCTTCCTTCAGACAAGATTGCTTTAGCAGTACCTGCTGCCTCTTTTTTTGGTTAAACTAAAACATATCCAGATCAATCAGACTAGGTCATATGTACATTTGTGTTTCAAAATTTCTTTAATAAGCTCTAATGGTTTTTCAGTCTAACAGTACTTGATTTCTTTTTAAATTATATCTAACAACACAAAAGCAAACTTTAAATATTAAAGATTGAAAACAAGTTATAGAGGCTATTTTAAGGTCATGCAAAAAAGAAAAATACCTCACATGTTAACATAGTTTAGTTAAAACATTTAAGAAATTGAATTATTAAATTCATCCAAGCTTGAAAAAGAAAGCTGAAAACTGCAGGACTAAGCATTTTTATAATATTAATAGAAATCCATTTTCCATTTTCTTTTCTGGCTTTTACTCAAAGAAAAAAAAATTAAACTGAAAAAAATTTAAAAAGGAAGACTGTATTTAAATTGAAGAATTGACAGAAACACTATTCATGTGGTTAATCTTTTATTAAGATATATGTAAGATGTTATTTTGATCTAAGTCGGAGATTATAAAACAATATACAAATTAATTTTTAGGCCGGGCACAGTGGCTCATGCCTATAATCCCAGCACTTTGGGAGGCTGAGTTGGGCAGATCACCTGAGGTCGGGAATTCAAGACCAGTCTGACCAACATGGTGAAAGCTCCTCTCTACTAAAAATACAAAATTAGCTGGACGTGGTGGTGCATGCCTGTGATCCCAGCTACTTGGGAGGCTGAGGCAGGAGAATCGCTTGAACCCAGGAAGCAGAGGTTGTGGTGAGCCGAGATTGTGCCATTGCACTCCAGCCTGGGCAACGAGAGAGAAACTCCATTTCAAAAAATAATAATAATATATATATACACATATATTTTTAAATATGACATCACATGGTCAGGTACAGACACTAATGTGAAATTTACTTTTTTATTTTTCAAAATAAATGCCAGTGAACTTACCCAAGCCACTGTAAAAGTAAAAAAACTACAATTCTGCACTTTTAAATGTTTAATTAAAAAAAAAATTTAAGCTATAGCTCACCAAAGTACAAGTGGCACAACTCACCATCACCCCAAGTGATCCACTAGCAAAATTTTTTACTGAAGGATGCAAAGTATTGATCCTGGGCGTGTCTGTGAGGGCGTGGCCAAAGGAGATTAACATTTTAGTCAGTGGGCTAGGAAAGGCAGGCCCACCCTTAATGTGGGTGGGCACCATCTAATCAGCTGCCAGCATGGCTAGAATATAAGCAGACTGAAAAATGTGAAAGGAGAGACTGGCCTAGTGTTCTAACCTACATCGTTCCTCCGTGCTGGATGCTTCCTGCCCTTGAACATCGGACTCCAAGTTCTTCAGGTTTGCAACTTGAACTGGCTCTTCTTACTCCTCAGCCTGTAGACAGCCTATTGTGTGACCTTGTGATCATGTGAGATAATACTTAATAAACTCATATATATATATTTATATATACGTTTATATATTTATATATATTTATTTATATTTATATGTATTTATATATATGTATTCTATTAGTTCTGTCCCTCTAGAGAACCCTGACTAATACAACCCAAAATCGAGTCCACATTTACTTATTGCATGTCTGCTGTGTATAAAACTCTCAAGATAGAAAAATAATGCCTTGAGTATTGTCAATAATGAATTTACAATCTATTAAAATAAATGACTATGTATGTGCATAATATTACAAACAAATTAGTAATAATACAAGGGACAATGAGGAACGCAGACTTCTTAATATTATCATATTTGATTGATGTGTTAAGAAATGTTATTACCTTAAAGATGGGATAGCACAAAAAATGAACTGTAAAGAATGAATGATTCTGACATAGAGGTTAAGTGTGTAGGTCTGAATAGATAGATGTGGAAAAGAAGTGAAGTTTATTCTGGAATCAAATAATTGTATACTTTGACTTAAATGTAAGACAGGAAAGTAGTCGGGAAGCAAAGTACTTTAATTGAATAAAAGCCAAAATTTGTAGTACCATGAATTCTGGGTGACTATATTCTGGCAACAAATTAAATCATAACCCTGCATCTTTCTACGGGTATTAAGATGCTGGTAACTAGATATAAAATAATGATGATGATCAAAATATTAGCTTTATTACCAATAATCAAGATGGATGCAGACTGGGCCTATGATCAAATTTTCTCCCTAGTAATCTATGAATGTACCTAAAAATGTGAGCCTTTTGACTTATCCTCATGGAGAGCTGGCTATTGGAAATGTTACTTAGACAACTGCTTAGAAGATCTCATTAAGGAGGTGTTGCAAAGGGAGATGATATATAATCATGCCCTTTGACAGATGTAAACATGGCTTTTTAACACACATGAATATGACTTGCTTGTTAATCATTTTATTGATATATAATGATTGTGCATATTTCTGGAGTACATGTGATGTTTTGATACATGCATAAAATGTACAGTAATGAAATCAGGGTAATTGAGATATCTGTTATCTCAAATACTTATAATTTCTTTGTGTTGTGGACATTCTAAAATCTTTTTTTTAGATACTTTGAAATACACAATAAGCTATTACCAACTACAGATATCCCACTGTTCTATTGAACTCCAGAATTTATTCCTTCTATCTAACTGTATTTTTTTTTTACCCATATTTAGTCCATTTTCATACTGATGATAAAGACATCAGAGACTGGGCAATTTACAAAAGAAAAAGGTTTATTGAACTTACAGTTTTACACGGCTGGGGAAGCCTCACAATCATGGCAGTAGGTGAAAGGCACATCTCACATGGCACCAGACAAGAGAAGAGAGATTGTGCAGGGAAACTCCTGTTTTTATATAACCATCAGATCTCATTAGACTTATTCACTATCACAAGAACAGCACAGGAAAGACCTGCTCCAGTGATTCTATTCCCATGGGGTTCCTCCTGCAACACGTGGGAATTCAAGATGAGATTTGGGTGGGGACAGAGCCAAACCATATCATTCCACCCCTGGCTCCTCCCAAATCTCATGTCCTCACATTTCAAAACCAGTGATCCCTTTCCAACAAGTTCCCCAAAGTCTTAACTCACTTAAGAATTAACTCAAAAGTCCATAGTCCAAAGTCTCATTTGAGAAAAGGCAAGTCCCTTCCGCCTATGAGCCTGTACAATCAAAAGCAAGTTAATTACTGCTAGATACAATGGGGGTACAGGCATTGGGTAAATACAGCCATTCCAAATGGGAGAAATTGGCCAAAACCAAGGGGTTACAGGTCCCATGAAAGTCTGAAATCCAGCGAGTTAGTCAAATCTTAAAGCTACAAAATGGTGTCCTTTGACTACATGTCTTACATCCAGTTCAGGCTGATGCAAGAGGTGGGTTCCCATCATCTTGGGCAGCTCCACCCCTGTGACTTTGCAGGGTACAGCCTCCCTTCTGGATGCTTTCACAGGTTGGTGTTGAGTGTCTATGAATTTTCCAGGTGCACAGTGCAAGGTATCGGTGGATCTACCATTCTGAGATCTGGAGGACGGTGGCCCTCTTCTCACAGCTCCACTGGGCAGTGCCCCAGTAGAGACTCTGTGTAGGGGCTCTAATCCCACATTTCCTTCTGCACTGCCCTAGCAGAGGTTCTCCATGAGAGCCCCACCCCTGCAGCAAACTTCTCCCTGGACACACAGGTATTTCTATACATGCTCTGAAATCTAGGCGGAGGTTCCCAAACTTCAATTCTTGACTTCTGTGCACCCACAGGCTCAACACCATGTGGAAGCTGCTGAGGCTTGGTGCTTGCACCCTCAGAAGCCACAGCCCGAGCTGTATTTTGGCCCCTTTTAGTCATGGCTGCAGTGGCTGGGACACAGGCACCAAGTCCCTAGACTGCACACAGCACAGGGACCCTGGGCCCAGCCCAAAAAAATATTTTTGATTGCTAGGCCTCAAGGCCTGTGATAGGAGGGCTTGCCGTGGAGACCTCTCACATGCCTTGAAGATTTTTTCCCCATCACCTTGGGGATTAATATTTGGGCCCTCATTACTTATGCAAATTTCTGCAGCTGGCTTGAATTTCTCCTCAGAAAATGGGATTTTCTTTTCTATCACACTGTCAGGCTGCAAATTTTCTGAACTTTTATGCTCTGTTTCCCTTTTAAAACTGAATGCCTTTAACAGCACCCAAGGCACCTCTTGAGTGCTTTACTGCTTAGAAATTTCTTCTGCCAAATACCCTAAATCATCTCTCTCAAGTTCAAAGTTCCACAAATCTCTAGGGCAGGGGTAAAATGCTGCCAGTCTCTTTGTTAACATAACAAGAGTCACCTTTTCTCCAGTTCCCCAAAAGTTTCTCATCTCCATCTGAGACCACCTCAGTCTGGACTTTATTGTCCATATCATTATTAGCATTTTGGACAAAGCCATTTAACAAGTCTCTTTGGATTTCCAAACTTTCCTACAAAGTTTCGAACTCTGAGACCTCCAAACTGTTCCAAAGTCACTTCCACATATTCAGGTATCTTTTCAGCAGCACCCCAATCTACTGGTACCAATTTACTGTGTTAGTCTGTTTCCATGCTGCTGATGCTGATAAATACAGGGAAATTTACAAAAGAAAGAGATTTATTGGACTTATAATTCCATGTGGCTGGAAGCCCTCACAATCCATGGCAGGAGGTAAAAGTCACATCTTACATGGCAGCAGACAAGAGAAGAGAGCTTGTGCCGGGAAACTCCCGTTTTTATATAACCCTCAGATCTCCTGAGACTTATTCACTATCATGAGAACAGCAAGAGAAAGACCTGATCCAATGATTGAGTTATCTCCCACCAGGTCTCTCCCACAGCTTGTGGGAATTCAAGATGAGATTTGGGTGGGGACACAACCAAACCATATCAGTACCCATTAATCAAACTCTCTTGATTTTCCCATCCTCTCTACTTTCTCAGGCTCTGCTAAACACAAGTCTACTGTTTATCTCCATGAGATCAACTTTTTTAGCTCCCACATATGAGTGAGAACTTGAGATATTTGTCTCTCTGTTCCAGTTTTATGTAATTCAACATAATGATTTCCAAAGCTATGCATGTGGCTACAAATTAGAGTCTCATCGTGCTTTTTGGGTGAATAATATTCCATTGCATAATATATACAACACATTTTTTTATCTATCCATTGATGGACACTTAGGTTGATTCTACATCTTGGCTATTGTGAACAGCACTGCTTTTTTTTTTTTTTTTTTTTTTTTTTTGAGATGGAGTCTCGCTCTGTCACCCAGGCTGCAGTACAGTGGCCCAATCTCGGCTCACTGCAAGCTCTGCCTCCCAGGTTCATGCCATCCTCCTGCCTCAGCCTCTGGAGCAGCTGGGACTACAGGCGTCTGCCACCACGCCCAGCTAATTTTTTGTATTTTTAGTAGAGATGGGGTTTCATCGTGTTAGCCAGGATGGTCTTGATCTCCTGACCTCGTGATCTACCTGCCTCAGCCTCCCAAAGTGCTAGGATTACAGGCGTGAGCCATAATGCCCAGCCAGCACTGCTTTATAAACATGAAAGTGCAGCTATCTCTACAAATGCTGATTTCCTTTCTTGGTACATACCCATCAATGGTATTGCTGGATTATATGGTAACCATATTTTTAGTTTTTTGATAAACTTCTATACTGTATTTCAGAGTGGCTATACTAATTTACATTTTTATCAGCAATGTATGAGTGTTCCCCTTTCTCCACATCCTTGCCAGCATCTGTTGTGGTTTTGATGTGCATTTCCCTAATGATTAGTGATGTGGGTTATTATTTTCAGATATCCGACGGCCATTTGTATGTTTTCTTCTCAGAAATGGCTATTCAAATCTTTGCCTATTTTTTAATATTTTTTGTCAAGTTGAGTTCCTGATCTATTCTGATCATGATTTTTTTTTTTTGTCAAACAGATGGTCTGCAAAAATTTTGTGCAGTTCTGTAGATTGTCTTCTCACTCTATTGATTATTTCTTTGCTGTGCAGAAACTTTTTAGATTAAAGTAATACCATTTGTCTACTTTTATCTAGTTCCCTGTGCTTCTGAGGTCTTACCCAAAAAAATCTTTGCCCAGAGAAATGCCCTAACGTGTTCCCCCGATGTTTTATTCTAGAAGTTTCATAGTTGCAGGATACAAAATTTGAATAGACAATTCAGTAGTATTTCAATATGTTAACAGTGGACAATCTGAAAAAGAAATCAAGAAAGCAATCTAATTTTCAATAACTACACAAAATGAAATTAAATACCTAGCAATAATTTTAACCAAATAAGTACAAAATCTCTACCAGGTAAACTATTAATATAAAACCTGATAAAAAATTGAATAGGATGCACAAGAAAATGGAAAGGTATTCCATGCTCATGGATTAGAAAACTTAATATTGTTAAAATATCCAATTACCCAAAGTGATCTGCAGATTCAATGCAATCTCTATAGAAAGATCAATGACATTCTTCACAGAAATAGAAAAAGCCTCCTAAAATTCATACAGAAGCCACAAACCTTTAGTAACCAAAGAAATCCTCAGCAAAAAGTACAAAGCTGGAGGCATTATACTACCTGACTTCAAATTATACTGTAAAAATATAGTAACCGAAACAGAATGCCACTGGCATAAAAACAGACATATAAACTAATGGAACAGAATACAGAACCCAAAAAATAAATCTACACATTTACTGTCAATTCATTTTTTGACAACGGCACCAAGAGCATACACTGAAGAAAAGACAGTCACTTCAATAAGTAGTGCTTGGAATGCAGGATATCCATATGCAGGAGAAAGCAACCAGACCCCTCCCTCTCACCATATACAAAAATCAACTCAAAATGGATTAAAGACTTAAATGTAAGACATAAAACTTTTAATATTTGACATATTTACTAAATGGCCTACGTTTTGTGAAGCTTCAGTCATACAAAATTTTCTGACCCTTTTAAAAAAATTAGTTAGAGTTCTGTTGAGACAGATGAAATTATGTCCCTTAAGCTTAATTACTTTCAAGGTAAATATCTCTCTGTCACTCAATATTTCCACAGTTAGGGCAATCTCTGAGGTATGATATTCTAGAAGTTATTTGCATATTTTTATGGCATTAGATAATTTTCTTCACTTGTTCTAGTTTAATATTTTTCTCATCAACAATTACTGTTTTTACCTCTGAATTATCTACAGGGAGAATCTATTTGTATATGTTTTAGATTTTTTTACCTTTCTCCAACTTTCTTAACATTATCTCTTGTTCCTTTAGCCGTGATCTCTACTATGTAAAACCTAACTGTAATTATGCATAAATCACCTCTATCTTGACACAATTTATACATTTCATAAATTTATTTCACTCTTACTTAGCTTTCTTATCACCCCACATTTATAATTTATAAAAGACTTTGCTTGCTACATAGTTTACGCATCTGATGTTGATCTTTTGTATAATAACCTTTCCAGATGTTTCTTCAGTCAGTGCTTATTCACATCCTATGAAGGGTTACTCAGTTCTTTCTTAGAAAACCTATCCCATGTCTGCAAATTTTATTGCAAGACACACATTTAACCCAAAAGCATTCTGAATCTTTGGGCAAAACATTGCCTTCCACTTTCACCATGATTTACATAGGCACTCTATGATCAGATTATAATCAGGTTCTTTATTTAAGGCTGGCTAGATCATTTTCAGATCAATTCACTTTCCATAAAGTTTTACTTAGCATACTATTTTGTAAAATTAGGGCTTAATTCTACCTCTTTCTGAAAGTCCTTACTCATCAAATCATTCCTAATTAATTTTCATCTGTCATTTCTCCTCCATTTTTGAACCATGTCTGTAAGCAGTTCTATATCCACATAGAATAATAATAATGATAATAGCTTTCCATGTATATAGTTTTGCCCATAGTCTCAGCACCTATGTAAGTATATAGATTTATAAGTATATAATCTAAGTAGACATTCACACTATAAAAGAGTTAATCTTACTGTTCCCAGCTTACAAATAAGAAAAATGAACCCAGAGGGATTACACCATTTCCAAATTTCTAGTAAGTAGTAGAACTATGACTAAAAATCAGGCATGTCTGTCTTTAAAGTCCTTTCCTTAACCACTAGCCAATGCTATATCTTATATGCAAAATCTCTTTCATACTTTAAAAAATAAAATTACTACAAACAGGAATTAACATTCTTTCATCTCTAATGCCAGGCTCCCAATTTGTGGGTTCCAGTGGAAAAAAAATCTGAGACCTCTTTTTCAAATGGTAACATGTAACAAATAGTAATAGCAGCAAATATTCCAAAAATGTGCTGTTAAAGGTACTAAAATATAGAGCATTTTTCATCATTCTTTGATCTCTTTCTTTAGTTGCCCATGGTGCATTTTATTTGCTTTTGATACTATTCTAAGTAAAAAAAAATTAGGTTATCTATCATGATAAATGATGTAGATTTAGTGTTCATTTTTTATTATACAATGACAGTTTTAATACACATATAAAAGCATTTAGCTCATATATGGAATCCCCAAACTTATAGATTTTTTATAGCTCAGCATACATATACATGTATTTTATTCTTACTAGAACAGTAGACTGGACAAAACTAGCATGACTTTTTATTTCACTTTTTGATACTTGTTGGCATATTTGCCAAAATTATATTTGGCTTACTAATGAATAAGATAGAACTGAAATAAAATGTAAACTCTGTGTTGCCCTGTCTTTATCTTTCACTCTATGTCATAATTTTCAGTGTAGTAGTTAGCTATAGAGGGAAGTAACATGAGTGAAAAAGAATATGTTTATTTGTTTGTGTTTATCAGAATACCTTTGCCTTCTTTCTGCGTTCAAAGCAAGATCTGGTTTGAATAGAAAGCATGACTACTTGGGGCTGTCAGAGTCTTCACTTGGTCAGTTGTAGACATAACACACTTTGTTTTTGCTTTCAGTCTTGCTGAATTCCCACACATCGTGGTTATACCACAATTGTGTGTTTATTCTTGTAGGGTATTGGAAACAGTACACATGAATACGGTGTCAAGGAATTGAAAACATATTGTACATATCTCCTCTGTTCAGCTTCTTGCTCCATTTTCTCATCAAACTTCACTTTGAAACCACAAATTTAAAGACAAAATTGTCAGTAATTTCAAGAAGATGACAGCAGAGAATTAAACTGACTCACTCACATTCACTTTCTCACAAATTTAGCCCAGATCCTCTCTTTCTTGTTTCTTACATATTGTACCTATAATTATTTTTACAAATTTTATATATACCTTTCTAACGCATAGAATACAGCACTATTTATATATTAAATTATTAATACTGCTTATATTTTGAGTTGATAGAAATGTCAGGATCTATCTATATACAGTGTTGCACTATATATATATAAAATTGATCATTTATATATAAATTATATATATTATATGTTATATAATATATATTTTAAATTATATATATAAATTATATATAAATATATATTATAATTATATATATAAATTATATATCTATTTTATATATATATAAAATTGATCATTTGCTTGTCAGAATTGATGAGCATGGCATAAGAACAGACTTCCAAAATGCTTTGTCATATAGCCTCAAAATCAGATTGTAAACAATAGCAACACAAGAAGTATTATCTCAAGGTTTCAAAACAATCTTGACATTTAAATAAGGTCATATATAGTTGACAGATGCCTACACATCCATTAAGATCCAGCTTAACTATAACCTCAAGGAGGTTTGTGCTGCTTAGTCTACCATAAAAATACTATTTTCTGCCACCATAGTAACCTGAGAACCCTCAAGCATACTATTTCTGGCAAACATTTAAATTAATTATTCACTTGTCTCTTTCTAAATTAGACTGTGCATTCAATGAG